>NC_000002.12:18721876-18873391 GCF_000001405.40 Homo sapiens
TAAAACCTTTTCCAATCATTCCATAAAAATTGTGGTTTCCCTCCTCTATCAAATCAGCTAATCTCATTTAACTGTGACCACTGCTTAAATGCAATTAAATTAGAGTCAGAAAATTGTGTCTTTCCTTGACCAGAACCTAAAATAAGGTGCACATACCAATGAACGTAGCTCACAGAAGGCTAAGGTCTAAGTTTACAAGCTCCACAAGGACAGGGGCTTTGTTCATCTTGTTCCCTGTTATATCCCCAGCCCCTGTAACAGGGTCTTCATTACTGCCTAGAGTAAGAGTTCATAAAGGAAGTTGGATGAATTTTTTCATCTCTGATGTGGATGCTTGGCAACTAGTGGACTTTTCATTAAATATTTGGGTAAATAAATGCTGACCCCTGGAATTCCATCCTCTGATATTCATGAGTCTAGATTGAGACATTGATGATTGTTAAGATGCAGAGGTGACTCACAGAGTCAGTTGGTCTTCATGTCTTCATGAATAAAGGACCTGAGATGGGGAGGCAAGAGAGATTGTGCTGAGGGCCTGGCTACTGAGGGAGGTGAGAGTAAATGGATGCAATGGTGGGGCAGGTTGGATGCAGATAAAACTTTTTCCCGTTTACTTCTAAACGTCAGTCAGCCATCAACCAGCCCCTCCTGGCTCTCTCCCACTGGCTGTCCCAGGTTGTTCAGGTTACTCCTCAGCTGCTGGGAGACAGCTCCTTCAGAATCTCAGGCTACTCTCTTTCTGATTCAACAATGAAGGCCCAAGGTGAGTATTTCCTTGGATTCAGCCTTTTGTCACAGCTCCAATGAATCCTACATATAGCATTTTTCTTAAATATGTATTTTATATGACTATAAAAGCAATACTCATTTGAAGAGAATTGAGGCTATGTATAAGGTATAAATAGGCAGAATAAAATTATTCATTAACATTTAGTTACGGTTTGTTCCGGTTATTTTTTGTGCTTAGGGTTTTTTCTTTTGTGCTATTGAGATCATATTGTATGAACAATAATATATTTTGATTTTTTACCTAGTATGATTAATATAGGAATTTTTCTCATATCATTAAATGACATTCATTGCAAATGCTATTCCAAAAGTCACAAACTTTTGTACTTTGCAAGTGCACTGTAATTTACTT
Source organism: Homo sapiens (assembly GCF_000001405.40). Taxonomy (NCBI): domain Eukaryota; kingdom Metazoa; phylum Chordata; class Mammalia; order Primates; family Hominidae; genus Homo; species Homo sapiens. The sequence goes on from NC_000002.12 coordinate 18,723,018, forward strand.
AGACTTTCTTCCATTGCTTGACGGTAATTGATACATAGCAGAATGAAGAGTTTCTCTGGGCATGGAGAGTACAGTATTAGGTCATGTTTGGAACTGCCCAAGCAAGGCTTCTATTCTCCTGGGGAGAGGTAGTTTTCTAGATCCGATCTGTGTTAACTAGTCATTTGATTAAGGTAGATGCTTCACTAAGTACAGATACAGTAAGATGTATACAGGGAAATACGAATATCCCTATTTTGTTTCTTCTGACTTACATTTTCGAAATGATACAAATAACACTCAGACTAATGGGTTACTAAAGGGAAACAAGTCACAAACACTAATGCCGTTTTTTAACCTTTAAGCCTTAGTTCAAAACAACATAATTGTACATTTCAATCTTAATTTGAGTGACTCATGGGTTTGATTTGATAAAATTAAATTAAATTGACTAAGCTGCCGTCAGTGCTAGCCACCATTCCAAAGGCTCTGGAAGAATATAAAATAGTGCAGCCACTTTGAAAAACAGTATGGCAGTTCCTCAAAAAAGTAAAAATAGGATTACCATATGATCCAGCAGTTCCACTTATTGGTCTATACCCCAAAGAATTAAAAACAGGGACTCGAACAGATATTGTACACTGATGTTCTGATCAGCATTGTTTGTAATAGCCAAAAGGTGGAAGCAACCCAAGAGTGCACTGACAAATGAATGGATATATCCATAAAACCTCAAAATAATTTTTTAAGAAAAGAAATGAATAGATAAACAAAATGTGATACATACATATTAAATGGAATATTACCCAGCCTTAAAAAGGAAGACAATTCTGACACACGCTACAACATGAATGAATCTTGAGGACATGCTTAATGAGACAAACTAGTCACAAAATACAAATACTTTATATTTCACTTAGATGAGACGTTTAGAATAGTCAAATATGTAGAGATGTAAAATAGAATGGCAGATGGCAGGGAAAGGGGAAGAGGGAGATGGGAAGCTGTTTAATGGGTATAGAGTTTCAGTTTTGCAAGATCAAAATAATTCTGGAGAAGGATTGCAGTGATGGTTGCATAATATGAATGTACTTAATACTGCTCAACTGTATATGCAAAAATGGTTAAGATGGTAAATTTTATGATGTGTATACTTTTACCATAATTTTTATGAAATAGGCTCTGGAAAAACTAAGTAATGTAAAAATACATTATCTTAGTGACCTCTTAGGGATGTGTGAGTAGTTAGGTTGAGGGAGGTTAGGGGAAAATAGGTTGGTTCATAAATTATAACACAGAGAATAAGTGAAATGGGCGTAAACTCTACAGAAGATACTTAAAGAAGTTAAGTAAGAGAGAGGCACATGTGAGTAAGTGGGGACTGCGGGTCAGGGATGGTCTCATGAAGGAAGTGGCTAGAGCTTCCACAGAGGGATGTGGGGGATGGACAGGAGAGTCAGCACAGGGGGATGTGATGGTTAATATTGAGTGTCAACCTGACTGGATTGAAGGATGCAAAGTATTGTTCCTGGGTGTGTCTGTGAGGGTGTTGCCAAAGGAGATTAACATTTGAGTCAGTGGACTGAGAGAGGCAGACCCACCCTCATTCTGGGTGGGTACCATCTAATTAGCTGCCAGCGTGGCTAGAATAAAGCAAGCAGGAGAAGATGAAAGAGCAGACTAGCTAAGCTGAGTCAATTCTCCTTAATAAACTCCCTTTCATATATACATATATCCGATTAGTTCTGGCCCTCTAGAGAACCCTGACTAATACAGGGGAAGAGAGGAAACTGGGAGGAAAAGACGTGGAATGAGCTTAGGGCAAGTTTGGGGTATTAAGGAAACAAAGTGTTGTGGAATAAACAGCTCAAGATCCTCTCTTCAGTTGTGTCAGTGTTTGGGCCAGCAAGTTTTCATACTAATGATTTGATGTAAGACTGAGAGTGTCCTAGTCATACATCTGTCAGTCTAGGAAGAGGCAGAGCGGGAGGTTTGGAAGCATTTAGTTCAAAGTGAAAGCAGGTTTGTTTTGTTGGAGATTCAGTAGATCTGGAAATGAAATCTCACAAATTGTTTGTCAAATTGGATTTGTGGGAACAGATTGAATTAAATATTATTCAATTGAATATATAACTTAGAGGAACATGATATATGTGCGATACATTAGTGCTATTTTCAAAGGTTACTTAAGTATTAAAAAAAAAACTTTAACCAACATAATACCTACTGGGTGACTAAGACTCTGTTAGAAGAGAGGTGAAAGGGCAAGAGAGGAAAATTGAAGCCAAATTGATCAGAGTTCCTGAGTCAATGGAAATAATAGTTCAGCGGGGGAGAGACATTGCATGGTTAGTGTAAGGTAGTATGGGATGGAGCTTGACCATGCTGGGTGGGACTGAAGATCAAGCCAGCCTTGGGACACCAGGATAGAATTTGATGTCAAGGAGATAGAGGGAACTCGAACAATCTTGCCTCTCAGCCTAGCAGCTTGGGTAGTGAATCCTTCGGGGTCTGGATGAGATAATAGATTGGAGTAGCTTGGGCTACTTAAATATTCAATCTAAGAGGAGCAGAAGAAAAGATTAAAGATCCTACGGGGAAGGAGTTTCCAAGCTGCAGGTTGTTACCACCATTCGTTACAAACATAAAGTAGGCCAGAATGGCACGTAATTGAGCAAGAAATACTAGCGTGATATTAAAGAGAGTAAAGAGAACTATAATTTCATAAAACTGTGGTTTCAGTTTTGAGGGCAGAGTCATAGTATGGAGCATATTTATTACTGTGAGTCTCAGTGACCAGTGTTTGGGAACAGTGCGGTAGGTGTCTGCAGGAAGCAGAGAAAGCAAATTAAGAAGACAGTTGAATATGTTACCTTACATGGACAATGAACAATATCATAATAGAGTGTTCTTTAATAATAAAGCTTTGATTAAACTTGTTTCAATGTTACTCGAAAGTTTAAGATTATATATATATACACATATATATGTATATATGAACAAAGAGTTAAAACAAAAATAACAAAACATAACACTGCTTATGGATACATACTAGACATGGAAGAAAGAAGCTATAATGTCCATGTGTTTATGTGAATGAATGCATGTGTTTGTGTCTGCCCATGAAATACTACCCATCTAAAAGAAGAATTAGATTGTCCTTTACAAGTAGCAACCTGACACTGAATACAGTGGTAAGGCAAGTTATATGGACTTGTGATTTGGTCTCATGGCTATATGAGTCTCATTGAATATGCTTGAGCATCTTCTTCACCAATAGTCTTGTTATATTTTCTTCAAATTTAGGAATTACATCCTTTTTTTTTTTTTTTTGAGACGGAGTCTCACTCTGTCACCCAGGCTGGAGTGCAGCAGTGCAATCTTGGCACACTGCAATTTCTGCCTCCCAGGTTCAAGTGATTCTCTCAACTCAGCCTCCCAAGTAGCTGGGATTACAGGCACCTACCACCATACCTGGCTAATTTTTGTATTTTTAGTAGAGACGAAGTTTCACCGTGTTGGTAAGGCTGGTCTCAAACTCCTGACCTCAGGTGATCCGCGTACCTCAGCCTCCCACAGTGCTGGGATTACAGGCATGAGCCACTGCGCCTGACCCACGGAATTACATACTTTTTAGGAAAAAAAAATTTCTACATTTCAGAGAAGTTAATTTCAGATCCATGACTGTGACTGCAAGGATTACAAAGGCCATTTCTCCTCTCATTAGAGAAAAAAACAAAACAAAAACAACTTAAAATATAGAAGAGAGTTGCTACCAATAATATTAGAGGTTTTGTTATAAGATCAAAGCGAGGTGATCTAACAATCAAAAAGTTAAAAGATAGCAAGTGTTAGCAAGGATGTGGAGAAAAGGGAACCCTTATACAGTGCTGGTGGGAATGTATATTAGTACAGCCATTTTAGAAAACAGTATGAAAGTTCCCAAAAAATTAAAAATAAAACAACTATATGATCCAGCAACCCCACTTCTGGGTATATATCTTGAGAAAGTAAAATCACTCTCTAGAAGAGATACTTGCACTTCTGTGTTCACTGCAGCATTATTCACAATAGCCAAGATATAGAAAAAAATGTTATGTGACAGATGAATGGATAACAAATGTGGGGTGTGTGTGTATGTACATATCAATGGAATATTATTCAGCTTTACAAAAGAAGGGACAGAAATTCTGCCATTTGTGACAACGTGTGTGAACCTGGGAAACGGTTATGGCATGTGAAATAAGTCAGACACAGAAAGATAAATACTACCTGATCTCACATGTGGAATCTAAAAAACAAAACAAAAAGTTGAATTCACAGTAACATAGAGGAGAATGGTGGTTACCAGGGGCAGGGGAGTGGGGAGAAAGCAGAGATATTGGTCAAAGAGTGCAAAATTTCAATTATGAGTAAATTCTAGAGAACTGATGGTGACCAGAGCGAATAATAATGTATTGTATACTTGAATTTGTCAAGAGAATTAGCTGAGAGCAGATCTTAAATGTTGTCAGTACGCACACTAACATGGCACCGATGTGAGTCATGCCAATTAGCTTTCACAATGTATACGTACATATCAAAACATCATAGTATACACTTTAAAATATATAATTTTTATTTGTCAACATACCTCAATTAAAAAGAATTAGTTTCTAAATGAAGATGGCAATATCTAGAAAGGAGTTTTGGCAATTAGCAAAATGATACTGATTGTTTTGGAGTCCTGTCTTATGAGTGAATTTCATAAGCCTGTTATCCTAATTTCCAATAATTTCCAACGCTGGCTTAAAAAAATACTTCATGTGTTTGAGCATGTGCACCACCAGCTGGGTGGAATTCCTTTTACAAAGGCCCAGCTGAATGGATTGGAGAGGACTCTTTATTTATCTATGATTTCAGCTCCACCTGTTTACCATTTTCTTGTTAAAAGGAATTAGTGACTATTGGGTATATGGCTATGAAGCAATTGAACAAATCTCCACTGCAACTATAATACAAATCCATCTTCAATCCCAGAGTAAATTGTTCTCATCTTGGGAGGGGAAAAAGGTATTTTCTCAGCTAAAAACAAAAATTAACAAATATTTTGCAAAAGGTGAACTCTGGGGTCCCAACCAAATCCTGAACAAATTAGAGTGAAACAGAAACAGCTGTTGAGTAAAATGCACATCCTTAGCGTAGGTTGTGGACTGTCAAGCCAGATTGCTCTGAGTTGGCCCATCCCAGCTTTACCATTTCTCAGCATCTTGGCAAACAAGTGGAAAATGTGGAAAGTGGAGAACATGTTGCAGAAAAACAGCAGAATCTCCAAGTTTGCTTTGGGACCTAAGGGATCTCAAGGTCCTAATTTCTGGTTTTCCCCTGGGAAGTTGCCATGCAAATGAAGAAGATTTGCTTTTGTGACAGGAGAAAGCATGAAGCTGTAAACCCACAAAGCTTCTCAAGCCAAAGAGTGAGCTCCCAAAACAGGATTTGGTTCAGTAATCCTGTGACCTCACCTGCGAAGTTTAAACTTTGCACAACACTGGATTTAAAAAAAAAAAAATCTTTATTTTATCCAATCACTTTTAAGTCATGAGATATGGGATAACGAAGAGAGATTGAAATACAAGCTTGGCCATTTCTTAAGTTCCAAATTTGCTTCCACCCCACCTAAAAATGTTGTGTTTCAGTTCAAGAAATGTGTCAAATGGTTCTGAACATCCTACAACATTTTAAAAACGCTAAGAAGTTGTAAAGTAATTCAGTGCTTGTTTCTCTCTTTCAAATTTATGCTCAATTATATTTCTTGTTAAATATGTTAGAATGTGCCGGGGGCCCACATAAAAAGCACACCTCTCTTCCACCAAGTTCTGAACCAATCAAAAACAAGAACAAAAAAAGTGAAAATGTCAAGGCCAGAATATAACCTTTATAATCGATAAAGCAAGTATAGTTCAATGTGGCTTATTTCTTGGGACATGTGGGCTTTTTAACACTAGACTAAAATTAGGAAAACTTGTGAAGCCCCCTCATCAGGTGGTACCAGCCAGTACCACAGGCTTTCCTCAGGGGGTGGCTATTATTTTTTGCTATGTGGCCAAGAACAATCAAGAAGATATGCTCTCCATGGAATATAAATCTCCCTCCACTACATATAGTGTAATTTATCTCTTTATATGTAGCTAAGTTTCTATTTGTAATGCATACAAAGCATCAGAACAGATGAGAAAGAAATAAAAAGATAAAGTGTCTCTCCCATTTCTCCCCACTCTCTTTTCATTGCACACTCCAGAGGCAAACGCTTTTAAACGACTTCTATTTTTACTTTCTTTGGTTGTTATTATAATTTTAAATGACGTACTTCTATTTCCACTTCTAAAATTACCAACTTTAAACAATATTTATTGATTCTCTTTCATAAAAGATGAGGAGCTTAGCACACTTAACTAGCTCCTGCCTTGTCTTCCCCCTTATCTTCTAATGTTTATCAACAATTTTGTTTTTATTTCTTCTGTGAGAGGGAAGCTAGTTAAAAGTAGGCTCCAGGACAGGTGTGGTGGTTCATGCACTCTGTGAGTCTGACACGGGTGGATCACTTGATGTCAGGAGTTCAAGACCAGCCTGGCCAACATGGTGAAACACTGTCTATTAAAAGTACAAAAATTAGCTGGACGTGGTGGTGCATACCTATAATCCCAGCTACTTAGGAGGCTGGGACATGAGAATTGCTTGAACCTAGTAGGTGGAGGTTGCAGTGAGCTGAGATCATGCCACTACACTCCAGCCTAGTTGACAGAGTGAGACGCTATCTCAAAAAAAAAAAAAAAAAAAAAAAAGGTAGGCTAGGCGCAGTGGCTCATGCTTAGAATCCCAGCACTTGTAGAGGCCAAGGTGTGAGGATCACTTGAGGCCAGGAGTTTGAGACCAGTCTGGACAACATGATGAGACCCCCATCCCTACAAAAAGTATAAAAATTAGCCTTGTGTGATGGCCTGTGCCTGTAGCCCCAGCTGCTTGGGAGGCTGAGGTGAAAGGATCTCTTGAGCCCAGGAGGTGGAAGCTGCAGTGAGCTATGTTCATGCCACTGCATTCCAGCCTGGGGGACGGAGCAAGGCCCTGTGAAAGAAAAGAAAAAAAAGAAAAGGAAGGGGAAAGAAGGAAGGAAGGAAAGAGAAGGAAGGAGAAAGAGAAGAGAAAGAAAGAGAAAGAAAAGAAAGAATGAAAGGAAGAGAAAAAGAGAAAAATGTAATTTTTTGTCGCTAAAATTTTATCCTGTAAAGCAGGGGTCCTCAAACCCTGGGCCACGGACCGGTACTGGTCCATGGCCTGTTAAGAACAGGCCACACAGCAGAAGGTGATTGGCAGGCTAGGGAACATTATCCCCTGATCCCCTCCTCCTGTCAGATTAGCAGAGGCATTCAAGTCTGATAGGAGCACGACCCTATTGTGAACTGCACATGTGAGGCATCTAGTTTGTACACTCCTTATGAGGATCTAATGCCTGATGATCTGAGGTAGAACAGTTTCATCCCAAATCCATCTCCCCCAACATCTGTGGAAAAATTGTCTCCCACGATATTGGTCCCTGGGGCCAAAAAGGTTGGGGACCACTGCTCTAAAAAATACTCTCCCAAGTGTCACTGTCAATGTCAAATACATTCCCTTAATTTCCTCTAGGTTTCCTTATTATTATTATTATTATCTTTTATCATATTCATTTCTTATATCTCTTGGATTGGGAAGCAATACAGTGCTGCTGTTCAGCTTGCAGACTGTGTGTGTGTCACATTTTGCAAGTTGCTTAGACTCTCTGTGCCTTACTTTTCTCATCATTAGATAAGGATAACAATAGCTCTTCCTCACATTATTATTATGAGCAAGAAGTAAAATAATACACACATAGCACATAGAAAAGTGTCCAGTACACCATATTATTTTGCTTGCTTTTTTTTCCTTTTTTAATTTTGCTAGAGTAGATTCATTTTGCTATTCACACAGAATGTCAGGGCACTAAATGTTCTGTGTTTGTATGTACAAAGTAAATTTTTATGTTTCTCTTTTCCTATCATAATTGAATGTTTACAAGATTCTGAATTCAAAGATGAAATGTGGAGTTCTCTTTCCCATAATTATAGAGTAGCTTGTTGCATACCAAGGCTCCAACCAGGAACATCTAGAGAAGGCAGAAAAATATCCATGTAGGTACTGGAGAGCTACTAAGGCAACCAGGACTAGAAGGTCCCAGAATCTAGAAAGAAGGTAAATAAGTACACTGAGATGAACTGAAAATTTTGATTTTTTTTTTTACTCAAGATATTTTCTGTTCTTTTTTGTTGAGATTTTGGCTTTCTTATAAATTCTGGATATTTTTCCCCTGTCCAATGCATAGTTTGCAAATATTTTCTCCCATTCTGTACGTTGTCTTTTCTTTTGCTGTTTAGAATCTTTTTTGTTTAATTAAGTCCCATTTGTATATTTTTGTTTTTGTTGCTTGAGCTTTTGGGGCCTTGGTCATGAATTCTTTGCCTAAACCAATGTACAGAAGAGTCTTCCCTAGGTTTTCTTCTAGTATTTTTTATAGTTTTGGGTCTTACATTTAAGTTTTTAACCCATCTTTCGTTGATTTTTATATATGATGAGAGATGGGGTCCAGTTTTATTATTTTATGTACATATGGCAATCCAACTTCCCAAACACCATTTATTTAAAAGGATGTCCTTTCCCCAGTGTAACCTTACTAAAAAGGGGGCGAAGGATATGAATAGACATTTTTCAAAAGAAGACATACAGATGGCCAACAAGCATGAAAATTGCTCAACATCAGTAATCATCAGAGAAATGCAAATTAAAACCACAATGAGATATTATCCTACACCAGCCAGAATGGCTATTATTAAAAAGACAAAAAAATAAAAAAACAGATGTTGGCAAAGATGCAGAGAAAAGGGAATGCTTATACGCTGTTGGTGGGAATGTAAATTAGTACAGCCTCTATGAAGAAACAGTATGGAGATTTCTTAAATAACTAAAAATAAAACAGCCATTCAATTCAGCAGTCCCACTACTGGGTATCTACCTAAAAGAAAATAAATCATCATATAAAAAGATACCTGCATTTTTATGTTTATTGCAGCACTATTCACAATTGAAAAGATAAGGAATCAACCTCAGTGTCCATCAATAGATGATTGGGTAAAGAAAATGTGAGATACACACATACACACATACATGCACACACACATGCACACACACACACAATAGAATAATATTCAACCATGAAAAAGAATGAAATCATGCCTTCTGTAGTAACATGGATGGAACTGGAAGCCATTATCTTAAGTAAAAACTCAGACAGAGAAAAACAAATATTGTATGTTCTCTTTCATCAGTGGGCACTAAATAATGTGCATACAGGGACATAAAGTATGGAATGATAGACACTGGAGACACAGAAGGATTGGGGGATGGGAGAGGGTGGATGATGAGAAATTACTTAATAAGTACAATGTATACTATTCAGGTGATAGGTACACTAAAAGCCCAGACTTCATCTTCATACTATGCAAAATAGTCATGTAACCAAATCGCACTTGTACCCCTTAAATTTATACAAAAAAAATGGTATTTGTTGTTCTTGGCATGGGTGAAGAGCCTAAAAAGTTGAGCAGAAAGCAGCAGCTAATTGAGCAGAGCATTTTGGAATCTCATGGGACCAGAGGAGAAAAAAGTTGGATTCATGCTCTACCAAAGAGACAAAGGCCTGGTAAAGCCCCTTCTTCCAGTTAGAACCCTCAAGGCATACATACCAGAAGCAAAGGCAAACTCAAAATAGATCGGCCCTCATAAAAACTGGAATTGAGCTTTGAAGCAGTTCAACCCCAGGCTGGATTATAATAATCTGTACCTATTCTAAATGCCTGCCAGCAAGCAAATCTACTTCCTCTTTGGAGGAAGATAAATCAAATTTTGAATGATCTTTACATATTTTTCATTCATAATGTCTAATGTTAAATAAAAAGTCATGAAGTATGTCACAAAACAGGACCAAATGACCCAAACCGAGAGAAAATACAGACAATAGAATCCAATCAAGTGGTCCATTTATTATTTGACATCTACTTTAAAATGACAGTGATTACTATAATCAAAATAATACATGTCAAGAGTAAGAACTTCACTGGGGGAACTAGGATATACACAATCACCTGATGAAAATGGAAAACCATGAATTTAATATACAGATTTAGTATCAGATTAACCAGATCAGAAGGGAGGATAAGTAAGAAAGATAAGTTACTATCAAATATCCACACTCTGCACACAGAGAAGAAAAAGATGTAAGCTACATAAAACTGCATAAAAGCCACTTGGGTCATGGTGAAAACATCTGACATATTGTACAATGAAGTCCCAGAAGAGGCAAAGAAATTATGGAGGAAACAACATTTGAAGAGATAATGGTCAAGAATTGTCCCAAACTCATGGAAGCCATCAAGATGCATAGTTCAAGAATAATTGCAAACCCTAAACAGATAAATAAGCTAACAAACACACAAAAATGCAGGCACAGAATAGTAAAACTACTGAAAACAGAAGACAGAAGGACATCTTAAAGGCAGCCCAAAAAAATACATTTTACCTTCAAATGAGCAACAGTAATACAGTAAGGAAAACTGCTAACTTATCAAAAAGAGTAATACAAACTTGAAAACAATGAATTGAAATTTTAACGGATTCACAGCTGAATTCTACCAAAGGTACAAAGAGGAGCTGGTACCACTCCTTCTGAAATGATTCCAAACAATGGAAAAAGCAGGAATCCTCCCTAACTCATTTTATGAGGCCAGCATCATCCTGATACCAAAATCTGGCAGAGACACAACAAAAAAAGAAAATTTTAAGCCAATATCCCTGATGAACATCGATGCAAAAATCTTCAATAAAATACTGGCAAACCGAATCCAGCAGCACATAAAAAGCTTATCCACCACGATCAAGTCGGCTTCATACCTGGGATGCAAGGCTGGTTCAACATACGCAAATCAATAAACATAACCCATCACATAAACAGAACCAATGACAAAAACCACGCGATTATTTCAGTAGTTGCAGAAAAGGCCTTTGACAAAATTCAACAGCCCTTCATGCTAAAAACTCTCAATAAACTAGGTATTAATGGAACATGCCTCAAAATAATAAGAGCTATTTATGACAAACCCACAGCCAATATCATACTGAATGGGCAAAAGCTGGAATCATTGCCTTTGAAAACCGGCACAAGACAAGGATGTCGTCTCTCACCACTCCTATTCCACATAGTATTGGAAGCTCTGGCCAGGGCAATCAGGCAAGAAAAAGAAATAAAGGTATTCGAATAGGAAGAGAGGAAGTCAAATTGTGTCTGTTTGCAGATGACATGATTGTATATTTAGAAAACCCCATCATCTCAGCCCAAAATCTCCTTAAGCTGATAAGCAACTTCAGCAAAGTCTCAGGATACAAAATAAATGTGCAAAAATCACAAGTGTTCCTATACACCAATAACAGAGAGCCGAATCATGAGTGAACTCCCATTCACAATTGCTACAAAGAGAATTAAATACCTAGGAATACAACTTACAAGGGATGTAAAGGACCTCTTCAAGGATAACTACAAACCACTGCTCAAAGAAATCAGAGAGGACACAAACAAATGGGAAAACATTCCATGCTCATGGGTAGGAATAATCAATGTCGTGAAAATGGCTGTACTGCTCAAAGTAATTTATACATTCAATGCTATCCCCATCAAGCTACCATTGACTTTCTTGACAGAATTAGAAAAAAACTACTTTAAATTTCATATGGAGCCAAAAAAGAGCCCACATAGCCAAGATAATCCTAGGCAAAAAGAACAAAGCTGGAGGCATCACGCTACCTGACTTCAGACCATACTACAAGGCTACAGTAACCAAAACAGCATGGTACTGGTACCAAAACATGTATATAGACCAATGGAACAGAACAGAGGCCTCAGAATTAACACCACACATCTACAACTATCTGATCTTTGACAAACCTGACAAAAACAAGCAATGGGGAAAGGATTCCCTATTTAATAAATGGTGTTGAGAAAACTGGCTAGCTATATACAGAAAGCTGAAACTGAATCCCTTCCTACGCCTTATACAAAAATTAAGATAGATTAAAGACTGAAACTTAAGACCTAAAACCATAAAACTCCTAGAAGAAAATTTAGGCAATACCATTCAGGACATAGGCATGGGCAAAGACTTTATGACTAAAACACCAAAGGCAATGGCAACAAAAGCCAAAATAGACAAATGGGATCTAATTAAGCTACAGACCTTCTGCATAGCAAAAGAAACTATCATCAGAGTGAATAGGCAATCTACAGAATAGGAAAAAATTTTGAACTCTATCCATCTGACAAAGGGCTAATATCCAGAATCTACAAAGAACTTGAACAAATTTACAAGAGAAAAACAACCCCATCAAAAAGTGGGTGAAGGATACGAACAGACACTTCCCAAAAGAAGACATTTATGCAGCCAACAAACATATGAAAAAATGCTCATCATCACTGGTCATTAGAGAAATGCAAATCAAAACCACAATGAGACACCATCTCATGCCAGTTAGAATGGTGATCACTAAAAAGTCAGGAAACAACAGATGCTGGAGAGGATGTGGAGTAATAGGAATGCTTTTACATTGTTGGTGGGAGTGTAAATTGTTGTGGGAAGTCAGGGACCCCAAACGGACCGGCTGAAGCCATGGCAGAAAAACGTGGATTGTGAAGATTTCATGGACATTTATTAGTTCCCCAGATTAATGCTTTTATAATTTCTTATGCCTGTGTTTACTACAATCTCTAAACATAAATTGTGAAGATTTCATGAACACTTATCACTTCCCCAATCAATACCCTTGTGATTTCCTATGCCTGCCTTTACTTTAATCTCTTAATCCTGTCAGTTGAGGAAGATGTATGTTACCTCAGGACCATGTGATAATTGCATTAACTGCACAAATTATAGAGCATGTGTTTTTGAACAATATGAAATCTGGGCACCTTAAAAAAAAACAGGATAACAACAATTGTTCAGGAAATAAGAGAGATAACCTTAAACTCTGACCACCGGTGAGCTGGGCGAAACAGAGCCATATTTCTCTTCTTTCAAAAACAAATGGGAGAAATATCACTAAATTCTTTTTCTCAACAAGAAACATCCCTGGGAAAGAGAATACGTGCCTAGGGGTATAGGCCTATAGACGGCCCCCTGGGCATGCCCGTCTTTTATGGTCTGTAGACTGTAGGGGTGAAATAGACCCCAGTCTCCCATAGCACTCCCAGGCTTATTAGGAAGAGGAAATTCCCGCCTAATAAATTTTGGTCAGACCAGTTGCTCTTAAAACCCTGTCTCCTGATAAGATGTTATCAATGACAGTGGTGCCCAAAACTTCATTAGCAATTTTAATTTCACCCTGGTCCTGTGGTCCTGTGATCTCGCCCTGCCTCCATTTGCCTTGTGATATTCTATTACCTTGTGAAGTACTTAATGTCTGTGACCCACACCTATTCGCACACTCCCTCCCCTTTTGAAAATCCCTAATAAAAACTTGCTGCTTTTTGCAGCTTGTGGGGCATCACGGAACCTACCGACGTGTGATGTCTCCCCCAGATGCCCAGCTTTAAAATTTCTCTCTTTTGTACTCTGTCCCTTTATTTCTCAAGCCGGCCGATGCTTAGGGAAAACAGAAAAGAACCTATGTGACTATCGGGGCAGGTTCCCCGGTAGTCAATTAGTTCAACTATTGTGGAAGACAGTGTGGCAATTCCTCAAGGATCTAGAACTGAAAATACCATTTGACCCAGCGATCCCATTACTGGGTATACACCCAAAGGATTATAAGTCATTCTACTATAAAGACACATGCACACATATGTTTGTTGCAGCACTGTTCACAATAGCAAAAACTTGGAACCCACCCAAATGCCCATCAATGATAGACTGGATTAAGAAACTGTGGCACATATACACCTTGGAATACTCTGCAGCCCTAAAAAACAATGAGTTCTTGTACTTTGCAGGGACATAGATGAAGCTGGAAACCATCATTCTTAGCAAACTAACACAAGAACAGAAAACCAAACACCACATGTTCTCACTCATAAGTGGGAGTTGAACAATGAGACCACATGGACACAGGGAGGGGAACATCACACACTGGGGCCTGTTGGGGGGAGGGAGGCTGGGGGAGGCATAGCATGATAAATACCTAATGTAGATGACGGGTTCATTGGTGCAGCAAACCACCATGGCATATGTATACCTATGTAACAAACCTGCACGTTCTGCACATGTACCCCAGAACTTAAAGTATAATGAAAAAAAAAGCACTAAAGAAAATTTATGGAAACCTAGAATTCTATATCCAGACAAATAAACTTCAAAAATGAAGGCAAAATAAGGACATTTCATATTATGAAGAAAATTTTTATTTACAGTTCCATGCTAAAAGAAATAATTAGAATTCAAAAGGTCAGATTATTGATTTAAACCCAAATGTATAAGAAATTAGTTAAATCTGGACTCTGAGGTTCCCTTTTCAACTTGCAAAATATGTGCATGCAGCTTGAGTGAGAAATTAACCTTTGTTGTTTTAAGCCTGTGATTTAAGAGGAGTTTTTGAATCAAGTAACTAGCCTGTACTGACTTACAAACATTGGTGCATGTTTTTTTCCCCCTCATTGGATCACTTTTTTTTCCTGCCGTTTGTAAGTTATGCTCTATGCCTATGCTTTCAGTGATTACTCTAGTTTCTTAACTTGCATATTAACAAAGTTTCAAACTTTAAATTCTCAAACTTTAAAATACATTCAAATAATCTGGGGATCTTGTTATAATGCAGATTCTGATTCAGCAGATCTGGGGTGGGGTCTGAGAATCTGGATTTCTAATAAGCTCCTGAGTGATGTCAAAGCTTCTGGAACAAGCTTGGAGTAGCAAGGCATAAATTACTTAAATTGTCTTATCCTATCTTCCAACTAATATCTAGCTGTTGTCCCATATTTTAGTTGTATTTCCCCACAAATTAAACATGATTACTTTGACATAGTATTTGTTTGGATTAACTCACTATTCATAATTTCTTTGCTCACTATTCTTTCCTGCTTCTTCTTTTCTTTCTTTTAGAATTTCCTTTAGTGTAGACATGTTGGTGGTATACTTCATATTTTATCATGCCAAAAAATGTTTTAATTTTATTCTCATTCTTGAAAAAATAATTGCATTGGGCATAACATTCAGGGCATTGCATTGTCTTCTCATGTCCATATATACTAATGTGAAATGAGTCGTCTGTTTAATTGATATTTATGTGATGTGTTCGTGCTGTCTACTGGCTTTAAGGACTATTTTTCTTTGATGCTCATGGCTTCACTATAATATGTCTTTGTGTGAAGTTTATTTCATATTTATTCTTTTTCGAATTAATTGGGCTTCTTGGATCTGAGAACTGGTGTCCTTCGTGGGTCTGGATAATTGTCAAACATAATGTCATTAAATATTGGCTCATTTTCATTCTATTATCTCCTTCTAAAACTATAACTAAATAATTGTTGGCTTTCCCCACTCTCTGCTCTGGCTCTTAATTTCTTTTTCCTATTTTCTATCTCTTTGTCTTTCTGGGTCACATTTTTCACATTATCTTTTAAATCTATTTTCTAGGCCACTCAATGTTGTCTACTTTAATCTTCTATTTAACCTATCCAGTATGCTTTTAATTTCAACCGTTATAGCTCTTCATTTCTAATATTTTATTTGCTTCTTTAAAAAATATCCCTACAATTTAAAAATTACATTTATTTTTTGTTTATATTTTTATGCTTCTCTATTTCTTCAAAGTAAATAAAGTTGTATATTCTCTGGTCATGACAATATCTGATATATTCAGTAACCTGACTCTCCTGCATTTCATTCAAGGTGCCTTGTTTCTGTGTGTTTTTCTATTTTTCAGTGAGTTGCTCATTTTCCTTGGAACTTTATCTGTGGGAATTCTTTGAAACCTGGGTTGAATTACTATTCCTCTAGAAATGATTTGTGTTTGCTTCTGCCAGTTTCCTGGGGGGGCACTGCTGGCCTAGGACCACTTTAAATTAAATTGTCCATTTGAGATTTTTCAGACCTCACAGGTGGCATAAATTTGGATGGCAAACCTGTGAAGGGTCTGTGGAGGTTATAAAATCTCAGGATGAATTTTTCCCCTCCACTAGTGCCAATGCAGACTGTAAAGTTTCCCTGCTCTTCTATTCTTGGCAGTGGTTTATTTCTCATTCAACCTTCTACAAAGAGTATAGGCCAGTGGGATTTCAACTTCATGCATGGGTCTCCTGTTAGACTCCCCACCTGGGGCAAGCCTGGCCATTTTGCCCTGTCCCCTGAATGCTATGCAGTTTTTATGATGCAAAACTCTTTGTGTCTTGGACGTTGGAACACATTTGTCTTCCTTCTTCCTTTCCTTCAGATGCCTAGTTGCTGTGGTCTGAAGGTTTATGTTTCCTCCAAATTCATTTGTTGAAATCTCAACCCCCAAACTGATGGTGTGGTATAAGGAGGTGGAGCCTTTCGGGGGTGATTAGGTCATAAGGGTGGAGTCCTAATGAATGGGGTTAGTGCCTTTGGAAAGAAGCCCCAGAGAGATCCCTCACTCCTTCTTCCATGTGAGATTATAGTGAAAAGATGGCCATCTAGGAAGAAGGGCTTCACCAGACACCAAACTGACCAAATCCCTTGATCTCAGGCTTCCATCCTCTAGAACTGTGAGAAATACAATTCTGTTGTTTACATGTCAGCCAGTATATGGTATTTTGTTACAGAGGTTCGAACAGACTAAGATGCTTTGGAGACCCAAGGAGGCATTTGAGGAAGGTCTATTGTATGGTGAGAACACTTAGATACCTTCTACCTATTCCATGTCACCCCACACTGCTTTACATTTCTGGTCTAAGATTTTCATGGGAACATTACAAGGTGATGAAATCCATTTCAGTCTGTTCTCAACTAAATCGCAATTATCAGGAAAATAGGGGCAATGCCTTAAGTATAATATGTTTTGCCAACACCTCCCTGCACAGTTCATAGCTTGTTATTTCCACGTAGTACCTTTTTATTACATGTCCAAAAGGACATTTAAAATGATTAACATTTACACTAACATTATTACTCATCTATCTGTTAAGATGTGGAAATAAATAAACAGAAATATTGAATTTATCTAACAACTGGTTAGTACTAGCTTGATCGTTTCTGTATTTGGGTACCTACAAACTCCCTGCAGAGACATCAAATTCAGTTTCACAACTATGTTTCAGAATGTTATACTCACCAGAGTTAAACTTCCCTCTCTGATTTTCTATTCTCAGCCATCCACCCAAACCGTAGATGGAATCAAAACTAGATAATCAAGTGGAAGAGATTGAAGATGTGTGTTCTGAGAATGTTCCCAGAGCATTCCCTGTGGTTGAGATCCACAGATATCGTTCATAACCTCATCATGCTGGGAGGGTGGTGGAGGCCCTCCTCAGGGCAGAAATTGAAGCCCAGAAAAAGGGTTGTGGTCAGTTCCAGCACAATTCTTTATCATGCTGAGGTCAGGCCAGTCAGGTCCTCCATAAGTCATGGGTTAGGCATGCGCTTTGGACCCAGGCCGCCCTCCAGCTGTCTCAAGAAGCCCGCTGGCTGGGCCCTCTGTCACTTTTCTCCAGCAGGCAGTCCACCAGGCCCCTCCTGCGCTGCTCATTCTTCTGCAGCTTGATGTCAGGTCCCGATGGATGGCTTGAACCCTGTGTTGACCCACTATATATCCGAACTCCCCCTTCCTCTATCCTGACAACATTTTACCACCACCAAATTTCTCAGGGTGAGTGCCAAAATAATTCTAGATGTAAAGAAACAACATTTTGGAATCATTGTAAATTTATCTCTGGTGATACTTAAAATTCATGTTATTTCAGAATAAAGGGAGGAAATGGACACTCAGGGGCTGCTTCCACAGTGTTTCTTTTTATTGGCCGTCGTCTCCAAAATCTCTGATTTATTGAAAGTCCCTCTACTCATCTATTTCATATCCTTAGGGATGGTGCTGTTCTCTTCTTTCCAGCCTTCCTGGGAGATGATTTTTTCCCCCTACTTTTTATTTCTTGTTAAATCTGGGAAGCTTTTCTTCTCTCATTCCAACCCACATTCTTTTCTTCCTGTTCTTTGTTGCTGCATGCTAGTAAAATGGGAAAAGTGTTTCTTCCACCCAGTGAAATGTTCTAATGGCTTAGAAGACAGACTCCAGTATGGAAATCAAGTTTTGGGCAGTTTATTTTCAAGACCCTGGTTCTGTTTGTCACACCACCCCTCCCTTTTTTAAAGAGTTCAGCATGATTAAATGGAGTTAGCTAGCCTGGGCTTGGGAACCCATAATCTAGATTCTGTTCCTTGCTCTGTCATTAAACCAACTGTGTGGTTTAGGTCAGATTATTTGTTTATTTGGTTAGTCAGTTTTCTTATCTGTAAAGTGTGTAAATTAGTACCTACCTTATGTGGAAGTTTTGAGCATTAGAGATGTTATTGAATTTAGACCAGTGCCTTACAAATAGAAAGGACCCAATAAATGTTAACAATTATTATTATTGTTTATTCATATATTCACTCAAAAAACATTAACTGTGTGATTGAAATTGTGGCAATGGTGATACCTCATGATTACAGTAACTTGGAGGTGCCCCAGGGCCCTGCCTGAAGCACTCATTGCTCTGAAAGGAGGGTGATTTTCTACTAACATAGTCAAATGCCTTGAAGTTCTGAGCCAAATGACCATGAAGCTTCTCTTGTTTAAAACACCACGACCCCCCAACCCTCAGACCTAGTAAGGAATTCCTATGTCGTTAGTTCCCCTCATGTATTGCTTCTGAGGCTCTTAGGCCAGTGTGTCTGGGAAAGTTTCAGGCTGGAGGCATCAAGGAGTATTAATGTGCAGATGTAGGATCTGTCAAGAATACGAGCTGTGGTGCAACAAAAACCACCTGTGTGGCTTGTGATGTTTTGAAACAGAGTGCCGGAGAGAAGGGGCCCAGGGCCAAGAAAGGAAAACGGAGCTGTGGATTTGTGTGCAGCTCAGAGCAAAGCTTAAGAGCAGGAGGCGGAGGAAACTGGTGGTACTGCCACTGCCCCACCCCCCTGCCGATGTCGGTGTTGCATTTGTATGACTGATGGGCAGTGCATACATAGGAGAGAATGGGAAAGTTCAGTGTCACCTTTGAAACTTAGAGGATGAGTTATCTCAAGGAGTGACTCCCCCATACCACTTACATCAGAACATAATAAAAAGTTTCCAAACAGTAACACAAAGCCATCCACGACTCGCCAGGACCTAAGCTGCATGTCCTTCAGACCTTGGGAACAGTAAATCTGGAAGGCAAGCAGTTAGCCTCCCAATTAGAGAACACTAGCAACGGCCATCTCCCACTACTCTTCTGAGCTTGCCAAAATCACAACAAGGATGCTGCCACAGGCTTGGGAGCAGAGCCACTGAAAACAGGCAGCCTAGTGCCCACTGGTGGCTCCGCTTCCATGGGCTGGAAAATGAGCGGCAGACTGATTGGCTGGGCTGTCCTATTTCCCTCACTGAGAGAGAACCTTTGCCAAAGCAGGCCTCATGGCTCTACTGATTGCTTTTCAGAGCCATGAGTTAAAACATGGTTTTTCTGTTCCTAATTTATGCCATGAGAGCCTGGAGTGCGACTTAACTGGGAGCTCCGCGATGGTGGAAAAGCAGCTACTGAGGTCCTCGGTGCTGGCAGAATCCTGGAGCCAGCAACTGCAGTTCAAAGGGCTGCAAAAACATGGTTTGCTGAATGAAGGGTGAGCCTACAAAATAGTTTCCCACCAAGTGACACAGGAATACGTCCAGCAATGTCAGGAGCAGGAATATATTGTGGACATTATCCAGACCAGCTTTCCCACCTACAGTGCTATCAACGTCCATTCTCCCAACACTGCAGCATTTCCTTCACATCTCTCCTAACCTGCATGAGGCCCTCCAATGCCCCCAGCTTTCTGTCCACCGCAAGGGCAATCTCATCTGATTTCCTGCACTGGTTGATGAAAACCCATATAGGCAGGAGAGAAGGAGCAGGGTGGGGAGTGTAGACAGCACCTGATGAGAAGCGAGAACTCCCCACCTGTGACTGGGGTGAAGAATTGAAGATAGCACAAACTGTAGCATTTAGCTGGAATGTAAGTACATCGATGGAGAGATGCATTACAAGTATTTTTTGGTCTGACATGAACAATTAGCAACACAGCGGTCTTGAGAAAATGCAAAATTGTACTGTGAAGAAAATTTATCTGTTTGCTTAAGTGGAATATTTGCTTTTGCTGAGAGAGAGAAGCCTGTTTTCTCCCTTGGATGTGCTAATTTTAAATGATATTGATTGTATTATTTCATTTGTGTCTCACAACAATTCTGTGGAGTAAGCACGGAAGATTATATCATGTTCATATTTCAAAGGAGTGAATTGTAATGTTCAAACCCATGTACATCAAATTAGCAGAATTGGATTCTGACCCCCTTTTTCTGACTTCAAACCTTGTGTTCTTTTCATTTGAGCTCATATTTATTTTTATTTACTTAGATGCCTAAACCCCAGGTGTTCCTAAAATAAAACATAATAAATGCTTATTTTAGACACAGGAATATTTTGTGTGGGTGCTTGTGTGCATATGTTTATTTTTCTATTTTTAAGGCACATTTAACATTATTTGGTTTCACTCAAGCTATATAAAATGAGGAGGACTTCTAGCATCCCTCTTGAGTAAAGAGATACTAAATATATTTGAAAGTAATCTACTTGAAAGGAAATAAAAGCATAAAGAACATCTGATTTCTAAGCAATATTTCTTCAAGATATGCTTTCATTATTTTAGGAGAAGGAGAATAACAAGCTAAAGTAAGAATCGTCTCAAATTATTGTAATCTGTTCTTGAGAGCTGTGTGCTGTGGAATGATTACTGGATTAAGAGAGGTTTTTGTTTGGCTCTAACTAGCTGTGTGGCCAAAACGAACTGGCCAAATATTTGTCTGTCTCAAAAGTTCAGTTTCCTTACCTTCAAAATCAAGAGATGGACTTAAAGATTGCAAATGAATTGTTGTGAACCTCCCTGAGGTTCCTAAACCAAGAAAGTATTTAAAATACTGAGTTACAGCTTCAGTTCAATAGGCATTTATTGAGAACCTACTTCCTCTGCATGTTTCAGGCAGCATGTTACACTCTGGAGTTTCAGGGATAAAAACCCATCTCTTTCTCTGGTTGGTTTCTATGGGATTGAATTTTAACCCACCATCTGTGTTTCTGTGCTATTTCTTTGTATTAGGATAGCCTAGGTTATACTGCAGTGACAACACCCAAATCTTGACAGCTTATCACAAGAAAGTTTGTGTTGACTCCACACAGTTCACAAAAGATCCAGATGAATCTACAGAACCTATCTTCCATGTGGCACTTCCATAATTCAGAGTATTCCTGTCTACGTTCTTAATAGGAGACTTCCACACTTGCAGAAACAGGGAAAACAAGTCCATTGTTATTTCACGTTTTCTCTTCTGAGCTCTGTTCTGGAAGCAACATATGTCAATTCTCACAGTCCCTTGGCCACTGTCACATGACTCCACTTAACTGTAAAGATATCTTGGAAATGAAGTCTATCTTGTCTCCAAAAATAAGAAGACAAATTGAGATTTGTGACCACTAGTAAGGCCTACCACATTGTATCTATATGAGAGTCACGGGAAGAGGCTATAGGCAACCAAACAGTAGCAGAGTAAGAACCAAAAGAACACATGGTTGGAATTGGAACAGTTTATGAATTCATGTGGGCTGAAATGGTCAGGGAGGCAAAGCTAAGCTGGATCTTGAAACATGAGGAGGGGCTGGAAAGAGGAAGGGGAGTTCCAGATAGGACAGGACACACAGGTTGGTTTCAGGGAAAAGAACAAAGCAGGTGAGTGATCTTCAGGTCCACTTAGATTAATGATTCAGCATAGACTGCATTTTTACTAGTGCTAAATTATGCAAAAGAAATCAAGAAATGAAAGTAGGTCAGGAGACAGCAAAAATCTTATGTGGAGATGTATCCATACAAGACTTCAGTGAACATGGATTGCCTGGGAAAGCTCTGATGAACCATCTTTAGGGTATTGATGGCTTCCTCTTTTTTTTTTTTTGAGATGGGGTTTTTCTCTATCACCTAGGCTGGCATGCAGTGGCATGCGATTACTGAACTCACTGCAGCTTCAAACACCTGGCCTCAAGTAATCCTCCCGCCTCAGCTTCTCAAAGTGCGCTGGGATTACAGGCATTACGCACCATGCCTGGCCTATTGATGCCTTCTTGAAAGGTGTTTCCAGTAAGCCAGAAGGATGCCAAATGTGCCCATCAACCTATTTGGCCAACTCTTAGAGAATCTGTTTTTTTTTTTTTTTTTATTTTGAGTCAGGGTTATTGGAGTATAATTTACATTCAATAAAATTTACCCCTTTTATGAATAAAGTCCTATGGTTTTTAATAAAATGCATGCAATCACGTGACCACCAGATCGTTGAAGATAGTGAATATTTCTATCACTTAAAAAAGTTCCCTTACCCTTCTTTGCAGTTAATATACTTTTTTCACACCCAGCCCTGGCTACCGCTGTTCTATATCCTTATATTTTGCCTCTTCTACAATATCGTATAAGGGGAATCATACAGTATGCGAATTTTTGAATGTGGCTTCTTTCATTTAGAATAATGCATTTGTGGTTCATCCGTATTGTCACATGCATCAGTAATTCACTTCATTTTATTGCTAAATACTATTCCATTGAATGGATGTTCCAGTGTGTTTATCCATTCACCAGATGAAAGACATTTGGGTTGTTTCCAGTTTTTGGCAGTTATGAATAAAGCTGCAATAAACTTTTCCATCCAGATTTTTATGTGAGCATATATTTTCATTTCTCTTGGGTAAATACCTAGGAGTGGGATTGCTAGGTCAAATAGCAAGTGTATGTTTAACTTTCTTATTGCCAGACTGAATTCCAGAGCAGCACAGCTTTCCTTTTAATTCCAGCTGCTGCTTGCTCTCATGATGCACTGAGGAAGTTTTTAAAGGTAATGATATCTAATCCTCTTATATTCACAAATTTCACAATTTACTGAGCACCTTCTATGCAGTGTTTTATGTGATTCTTGTAGCATCAGAATGGGAATGATGTCAGATTCAGAGTCAAATGACCTGGACTAGGCTATTCCAACCTTACATAAATACTTCAACTTTTTAGGGCCTCAAATTCTTTATTTGAATAATGGAAATGATACTCATAAGGCCATTATGGGGAACATTGTGATCAAGAACTTAGATTTTAATGCCAGTCTTGTGTTTGACTTCTAGCTCTGCCACTTATTGTCTGTTATGTCAGGCAAGTTGTTTAATGTATCTGAGCTTCATATAAAATGAGAATAACAATAATTATTTACTGGATTATCATAACAATTAAATGAGATATGTGTTAAGCACTTAAAAGAGTAATCCCTGTGGGATAAATGCTTCATAAATAACTGCTATGGTTATTATTGACAGTATTATTGCTATAGAGATGGTATGCCTGAGAGCATTCTGCAGACTGAAAGGTACTATATGAAAGCAAACCAGCCAGGCGCGGTGGCTCACACCTGTAATCCCAGCACTTTGGGAGGTCGAGGTAGGTGGACCACCTGAGGTCAGGGGTTTGAGACCAGCCTCGCCAACATGGTGAAACCCCATCTCTACTAAACATACAAAAATTAGCCAGGTGTGGTGGCACGTGCCTGTAATCCCAGCTACTCAGGAGGCTGAAGCAAGAGAATCACTTTAACTCGGGAGGCGGAAGTTGCAGTGAGCCAGGGTCACACCACTGCACTTCAGCCTGGGCAACAGAGTGAGACTTCGTGTCAAAGAAAAAAAATAAAGTAAAATGAAGAAAAACCATCTGGCATATTAGGATTCAATATATACAATATTAGTGACACTGTCAGTCATGATACTTCAAATTTACTTGGACTCTATTTCCAGAACTCTATCTGGCTCATAGTATCACCTCTTTAGAATCTTTCAAGGCATAGCTGAGAATGGTGGTATGTGCTTATAGTCCCAGCTACTTGGGAGGCTGACTGGGAAGATGGCTGAAGCCTAAGAGTTTGAGACCAGCCTGGACAACATAGCAAAACCCTGTCTCAAACAACAACAAAACCACAGACACAAAAAAACAAAAAACAAGGTCGGGGCAGGGGTGGAACTTTTAAAATAATTTGTCCTGTGAATAGAGCTTGCAAAGCTATAATACCATGCCCTTGTTTTTCCTCATTCCTTACTGTCTGATTTCGCATTCATTAAGATAGAATATGATGGCCATGAAGGAAGAGAACTCAGCATTAATGTCATAACTCATCTAAAAACACGTTGTCTAGGGATCACCTGAGCTAAGGCATTTTGCGGGGGGGGGGGGGCATTATTGGAACCCTTTTCTTCAGGATGTTTGTCCTGCTCATGATGTCACCAAGACCGTACTTGGAGTGTGGCATTATAGTTATCAAGGCCAGTTCTCTAACCTGGATGACCCTTAGGGGCTTGAATTGAGGTATATGGATTTTTTGTTATGTGCTTGTTAAAAGTGGCTCTAAATGTGCACACACATTCAGTGCTGAAGGACAATTTGGAGTTGCCAGCCTGTTGCTGCCTGACTAATTAAAAGAACTGGGCACATGTTGCTCACATCATTAGATGAAACTTGGTCACACATCTTCTATGGATTTGTTTATTTTTAAATTTTATTTTGAAGTAGCTTCAGCCTAGCAGAAAGTTTGCAAAAATATTACTGAAAACTTCTGTATACAATTTACCAAGATTCATCAGTTTTTAACATTTCACCGTATTTGCTTTATTACAATCTTTTAATATATGTGCGTACATGTGTGCACACTCATGCATGTGCATATTTTGTAATTTTTCTGAACTATTTGAGAATAGTTTACATATATTGTACTCCTTTACCTTTTAAGATCTTCATATGTATTTTCTAAAATAAAAAGTTACAAACTTATGTAACCACTGTACAGTTACCAAATTTAGGAAATGTAACAATAATACATTTTTTATTGCATCTGCATTGCATATTCCGTTTTGTCAATTGCACCAGTCATGCCCTTAATATCCTTTTTCCCTCCATTACTATATTTCTGTCATCCTTCTTCCACAGTGAGAGTCTTGGCTCGCAATGACATCAACACATTTACTCTATTCTACAATAGCAAAATTAGTTTTAGAATTGCTGAACCCAAATGACTATATATTAAAAACATACTCGGGAGTTGCAGATTTGTTTTAGTTCAATTTCCTAGACTGAAGTAATATATTAACAATACTGTCTTCTATAGTTGCTTGCATTCATTTTATTTTTTCTTCAGTATGATTATTTTCTTTTTCTTTTTTTTAAATTTTACCTTAAGTTCCGGGATGCAAGTGCAGAATATGTAGGTTTGTTACATAGGTATACTTGTGCCATGATGGTTTGCTGCACCTATCAACCCGTCAATCTAGGTTTTAAGCCCTGCATGTATTAGCTATTTGTCCTAAGCTCTCCCTCCCCTCTCACCCCAGCCGCCGACTGGCCCCGGTGTGTATTGTTCCCCTCCCTGTGTCCATGTGTTCTCATTGTTCAACTTCCACTTATGAGTGAGAACATTATTTTCTTCATTTCAAATACAATTGGATTTGTTTCTTTTGCATTTAGTTTGAGGTTTTCCCTACCATCTTTGTTAATTTTATTTTTTACTATGTGGAATACTACTATGCTTCCCAAAGTCCAAACTACAAAATTATACACTCAGAGGAGTGTCACCCCTTCATTCCTGCTCCTCTGCTATCTAGGTGACAAATTTTGTTTATTTTAACCCTTCTCATGTTTCCTTATGTTAAAAAATTAGGTTTATATGTATTTTCATATTCCCTTTCCCATTTGCATAACAGATGACCTATATAGTCCTTTCACTATTTCTTTATGAAGACCCTATATAATACATTGTATATAACATGTTGTTGGACCCTGCCTTCTGCCCTGTTCTTGCTGTGGATTTATAACACCTTCATATTGTGGCTATGTAGAGAAAAGATACCTCTGAAGCCTTTTTTCTGCACTCCAAGGCTTAACATAGAATTGGCCTCTCATAACCTTTTTTTATATAATTGATCTGATTATTGAATGGAACAAAAGGACAGCACTGAGCTATAACAGCGCATACTGAACTGTGATCACCATGACTCTGAAGTTGAAACCCTGCAGTCTTACATGAAAGACTCAGCTCCTTCTGTTATTCACTCATATGGATCTTACACAGCTGCCACCCGGAAGTACTTGATCCTCATTCTAACATGTTTTCCAAACCTTTAAGAATTTGAAATTCCATTTTAGTTGTCCAGAATTCTCTTTCCACCTTTTATGCCCGGTCAACATTTAACCATCTAGTTAAAGGTGAGTGATTTGTCTAACTTACTTGTTAGATAGCTCTCGTTAAACTGCTCTGGCAAACTTAGTATTTCTATAACAACACTTTAGAAACATCTCAACTATAGCACTTTTTGGCCTGTATTGGAATAATTGGTTTACGTTTAGTCCCATAGCCTCCGCTATGAGATTTTGAGTTCCCTCGGTATCAGGACCCTTCTTTATCTCCAGTGATTAACACAGTTACTGCTTAAAAATTGTTTGAATAATTTAATAAATTGATAAGACCTTTCCCCACTTTGAATCTTAGTTTATTTTGTATGTTTAAAAAAGGGTCTACTTGAGATTCTACAGTATTCATTTCAAACTCTAACAGTTTGAAATCTAGAAGATGAGATACCTCTCTCTTTCATCTTCTAGCATTCTTTATATATATACATATATTTCTTGTTTATTATTTGTTTCTAGTTTATTATGTATCTAGTTTAAATATATATGTGTGTGTGCATATATATATTTCTCCTTGACTAGATTCACCACTGACAGGAAGGGGGCGCCATTTAACAGCCTGTGGAGAAAGAAAGTTTTTGTGACTTCTTTTATAGAAAGGGATGGTATTATTATCCTAGCTGAAATTGAAATATATTTTATTCTCCTCTCTGAAATGTCGATTTACTTAACATTTGACATTGGAATTGAGAAAAAAGCCAAGGATACCTCATCTAAGCTCCTTTGCAAATTATGCACAGCACTGATTATTCTCCTTCTAAATTTCATGTGGGTTTATGAAAGGTAACAAAGAATAGTTGATAACTCTTGATATAACAGAAATGTATTAATACATATCATGTATATGACTATGGGTGGATGTGTGTGTGCATTAATTACAGTGTAACATCTGGAATTTGGGGAGGGTTACTTTTGAGCAAAAACTGACACCAAAGTGTACTTACAATGCCTATGTCTACCAGGATAAGCAGAAAAAGCATTTCTGTCTGTTTGTTGTGTCACTTAACAGACGCTTTGTATTAAGATGGTGTCCATATTTCAAGGCCTTTAGCACCTGAAACAATTCAGAACCCAGACCATGTGGTGGTCCCTTAGAATTCTACGTATCTCTGAGGTCTAAGTAATCAGACTCAGGACCAGGCTGTCTTATTTAAAGGGGAGACATCTTGGTAAAAGCCTCTTGAAGCTGCCTGTTCCTACTTTCTGGTTACCTGAGTTGTTTTGGTCTAAGTTGCTTCAATTGTCTGGGCCCAGCCCCACAAGGCACAAATAGGTTTGTTATTTTAAGAGGCAACCTGAAGCCACTCTCTCGTGCAGTTACATAAATAAGACCAGGCTGGCTTGGAAAGGGTGTAAATCTCTGGCCAAAATGAGAGAAGGGGGAGTCATTTGCTTTCAACCACAGTTAACATGCTGACTGAATTTCCAAATAAACTTTTATCTCTTAAGACTGATTGCTAGTGATGGTTATAAAAATGAGTGTTAGAATGTAGCCAAGGAAGTGACCACACCTTTCCAGATTCTTCCTTAGTTCTGTCTTCAGTGGTTATTTTCCTAAAAACCAAGAAGAGGTAGCTCTGGTTCCTAGGTGTAACTCAGCTTTCTTGTAGACAGAAAAGAGGAGTATCCCCCATCATTCAGCTTCTCTTGTACCCCCTCTTTTCTGCAAATTACAGTAAACAAAGGTGAACAGGAGAGATGAGTAAGAACACAAATCTTAACCCAGTCGTTTCTTTCTGCATGGGGTGTGCTGAGTCGTCCTGCCTTTGCCTTCTTGTATTGCACAGAAAAACCTTCAAGCAGCCAAAGGAAAATGCCTCATCTTTGAGTGAAATTCTTGTAGGTATTGCAAAAGGAGTTAGAGGGACTTATCCCGCCTGCACATTTCTACAACATTGTACAAGTTAGAAAATGTTGCTTGTAGATTGTAGTTGACAGTGTTCTTAGAAAAGTAACAACCGTAGCATTTCTTTGAGGTCCTACATTCATTTAGCTTTCTGCTTTCTTCTCCCTTGATTTAGAATTTTATTTTTCCTGAAGAACAATTTTTTATGCTGCCAATGCACACAATGCAAAATAGCAAAAATTTGATTTTTCTCCCACAATTAAACTATACTTTTCTACATTAGGTTAGATATTCGTGGTAAAAAGCAATAATTATGAATTATTGTTTTTTCTCACTTTTTAGAATCTGCACATCTTAAAATAGTTTTAAGCACTTTTAAGGAATTTGCTTCAGTTTGTTTTGGATGACATTTATTTTTTTCCTCCCTCTGAAACAAATATATTTTTTCTTTTTTCTTTTATCCCTCCTCTTTTGTAATTCATATTACCAATGAAAGCCCTTTTGAACAAGCAAACGAAAATCCTGTGATAATTGAAATAGAAGCATCCAAATATGATGTCCTGGTAAATATTTATAAATATGAGATACAGACTTTCTTCTGATGCCCTCAAATGCTGGTCACCATAGAGCACTGAAAAGAATTATGACTCAATAAACTGCATGCTGACATATAACTAAATAAGTAAATAACTGGAGTGAAGGCCAACTGCTGCTTAACAGCTTCCCCAGTTACGTACACACTTTCAAACAAGCATGAAATGTAGGTCTCTGGACATCGCTTAAAAGAACCACAAATAAACAGAGTGTGATCCCACACTCCTATTCCTTCCGGACAGCTAGAAAGCTTGGCTGGGAATTGGGGTGGTTTTTGTTGCTCTTCTGTCCTGTGCACTGTAAACACAAACCCTGCTCAGAGCACCAGGGTCGTGCTGCTGCTGACAGAGTCACTGAGCCTGGAAAAGTGAGGAGTCGAAGAGCCTGTGACCTTTGGCCCATCACCTCACCTCCGATTTTGCAAAGAATCACGCTCCAGACTTGGATACGTCGATTGTAACATCTGGGCTAAGTCAGCCGAAGGGACAGGGAGCCTGATTTGCCAGTTCTCAAGTGTGGCTCTCTTTTTTCACATGCAAGATATATGTTAAGCTCAAGCTCTGCAGTTTGGGGTCAAACAGATGCCAAAATAGTAGAACATTTTCATGGAATACATACCTTTTACATTAAACATAAGGTTGAAGCTGAAAGGCTCGTTAGATGTTATCTATTGTGACTTTTTCTTTCTACATATAAGGAAACTGAGGCAAAGAACAGAGTTCACAATAGAGCTCAAATGCCCTCGTTCTTGGACCACTGCCATCCTTGGACGTTTAACTGTCTGTATCAGTTACCTGTAGCTACATAGCAAACCATTCCAAAAGTAATGATGTCAAACAACAATGATTTATTATTTGTCACAATTCTGTGTTTGCTTAGGCTCACTCAAACCACTAACATGCACCAGGCCAGTTGGCTGGAGGCTGGGCTCACCTGCATGGCTGAGATGGCTGGGCTCTTTCTCTCTACTTGGTCTTTCACCCCAGACTTCTTCACAGCTTGAGGATTCGTGGAAAGAGATCCAAGAGGTCAAGCCCTGGTGGGTGGGCTTTTAATAAATACCCACTTACTGTCTTTGTTGATATCCACTGTCCAAAGCAAATCGCTTAGCCCAACTCAAAATGAAGTGGAAGAGGAATGCACAAGAGTGTGCATCAGTCAGGAGAAGCCTGACCAATTGTGGGGTGGTTACTGCAACAATCTTCTGTACTGCTTATGAAAATGCTCCCCCAAGCGTTCTATATAATAATGGTATCCTGCAAGATAGTAAGCAGCCTTCCTAGCAAAAAGAATCTCCCTAGTCAAGTTTGTAAGAGTTTCTCGAAGAAGAAGAGGTGAAAATGGCATTTTCCAAATGTATTTGACTGAGATTTTCTTTTCCTTGTAAAACAGCTATTAATATCATGGAAAACACTTTTGAAAAGACAAGCCTCGGGCATTAGTACCTACAGGGTATTAGTACTACTACTAATGCCTTATTAAGTCAACAAGACCTTTGCAAAATCCCTGAAGATCTTCTGGTTTTCAGATTCATGTCTTTTCATTTTTTACTGGATCATCTTTTTTTTTTTTTTTTTTTTTTTTTTTTGAGTCTCGCTCTCTCACCCAGGCTGGTGTGTGGTGGCACAATCTCAGCTCACTGCAACTTTCCACCTCCTGGGTTCAAGTGATTCTCATGCCTCAGCCTCCCGAGTAGCTGGGATTTACAGGCACCTGCTACCATGCCCAAGCAATTTTTGTATTTTTATTAGAGACCAGGTTTCACCACATTGGCCAGGCTGCTCTCAAACTCCTGACCTCAAGCAACCCGTCCGCCTCGGCCTCTCAAAATGCTGGGATTACAGGTATGAGCCACCATACCCAGCCAGGATCATCTTGTAAGTCATAAATTTCAGTCTACTGCAACTGGCCCTTCTGTTTTTAGTGTCTGTTTATGCTGTTTGTTACAAGCTGTCCAAGTGAGCACATGAACTTTCCGTCTGGCCCAGAGCAGTAGGTTGCTAACAAAGCATTGATAGGGTGTAACTGGCATGGATAAAAGCAAGTCCCAAGAGTCTACTTCATTTTTCTGAGTCTTAGCTTTCCCTGTGCTAAAAATTGGAAAATCACAGTAGCCTTATAGATAGTTATGATGATAAAATATACAAATATATTTGGAAATATTTTGTGATCTCCAGGTGTTACACAACCATTATCCAACTCCAGTTAAATGTTAATAGATTTGTTATAATCAGGGTTTGATTGCTTTTTAAGTATAGCATAGACCTCCAAAGTGCCCAGCTAATGCCAAGAATCAGTGAAATTCTGAAAATGCTAATGTGATCATGTTACTGCCCTTTTAAAACCTCTCCAATGGTTTTTTACCACTAAAATTAGCTTTTAAGGGCTTATGTGATTGATGCCTGCTCAGATCTTCAGCCTTCACAGCTCACAAGCCAACCCTGACCCATCCCTTTTTCCTTGTTTGCTTCAGCAGAATAGTCTTTTGTTTCCTAGATACTGTCTGTGGCTCTGGTCATTTGCACAGACAATTCTCTTCTTCCCTGCTCAGACCATTCTTTTTCCATGATGAGTAGCATCCCCCGCCCTCATCCTTTCTAGCTTCTCCCACTGTAAGTCCAGGTTAGGTGCTGACCTCTTCCACTGGGCATCCAGACCATCATGTTTTCCTCCATTTCAACATTAAACCAGTAGGCTCATTGCTTGATTTCTTGTCTCTCTTTCAAACACTATTAAGTAGGTATTCCTTAAACACTTTCTGATTGAATGGATGAATGTATTATTATTTAATACATCCATGAAGAAATCAGTGCCCTGGATAGTATTTTGTGTAGCCTTGGAATGGAAGAGTGTGATGAAGCCTCCATGAAACCCTATGGAGTGGATTAAAGTTATATATTTAATATATTATATATATAACTTTATAATATATAATATATATTATATATAACTTTATAATATATAATATATATTATATATAACTTTATAATATATAATATATATTATATATAACTTTATAATATATAATATATATTATATATAACTTTATAATATATAATATATATTATATATAACTTTATAATATATAATATATATTATATATAACTTTATAATATATAATATATATTATATATAACTTTATAATATATAATATATATTATATATAACTTTATAATATATAATATATATTATATATAACTTTATAATATATAATATATATTATATATAACTTTATAATATATAATATATATTATATATAACTTTATAATATATAATATATATTATATATAACTTTATAATATATAATATATATTATATACTATATATAATATATAACTTTATAATATATAATATATATTATATACTATATATAACTTTATAATATATAATATATATTATATATTATATATAACTTTATAATATATAATATATATTATATATAACTTTATAATATATAATGTATATTATATATTATATATTATATATTATATATAACTTTATAATATATAATGTATATTATATATTATATATAACTTTATAATATATAATATATAATATAATATATAACTTTATAATATATATATCATATATTATATATAACTTTATAATATATATCATATATTATATATAACTATAATATATATATCATATATTATATATAACTATAATATATATATCATATATTATATATAACTTTATAATATATATATCATATATTATATATAACTTTATAATATATATCATATATTATATATAACTTTATAATATATATCATATATTATATATAACTTTATAATATATATTATATATAACTTTATAATATATATCATATATTATATATAACTTTATAATATATATCATATATTATATATAACTTTATAATATATATCATATATTATATATAACTTTATAATATATATCATATATTATGTATCACTTGCAGTGTATATATCATATATTATGTATCACTTGCAGTGTATAGGTCATATATTATGTATCACTTGCAGTGTATAGGTCATATATTATGTATCACTTGCAGTGTATAGGTCATATATTATGTATCACTTGCAGTGTATAGGTCATATATTATGTATCACTTGCAGTGTATAGGTCATATATTATGTATCACTTGCAGTGTATAGGTCATATATTATGTATCACTTGCAGTGTATAGATCATATATTATGTATCACTTGCAGTGTATAGATTATATATTATGTATCACTTGCAGTGTATAGATTATATATTATGTATCACTTGTAGTGTATAGATTATATATTATGTATCACTTTATAATATAATATATATTATAACTTTATAATATATAATATATTATATATTATATATAACTTTATAATATATATAATATATTATATATAACTTTATAATATATATAATATATTATATATAACTTTATAATATATGACTAATATATATTATATATTTAAATTATAAAATCCTTCTTTAAGAAAAGAAAGTAAAATGAATGTCTTTATAGTCAAGAAAGGTCAGGTTTTTAATGATCACCCTTTCATGACTTATCTCCTAGAGAAAAGGAACTTCTTTCTGTAAAACTCAAGAATGAATCCTGTGTATAGTGGGATGGTGGTGAGTGAGGGGGAGTTAAGAGATAGAAGCCAGTTGGAGAATTGTTTGGTTGGCTATGGGAAATCCAACTTCAGAGTATGAAATTGGGCCAGCCTAACCCTTGCTGTGAAATGAGATGTGATTCTGAGAGGGAATCTAGATTTACACAGGGATAATTACTCTATAATCAACGTTGTGTATGAGTGTGTTGTGTGTGTGTGTGTGTGCATATGTGATGAGCATGGGGCATCTGGAAGGTTTTGGGTAGATCTGTGGTACAAAAGTGTACATGTCTGGTTTGTACAGAAACAGAAGTCATGTACAGAAATAGGCATATCCAGTCAATTAAATTTCATTGATTAGGTTAAATCATCTAATAGTTTTCTTTGATAAAATATTTTTGATTAGAGATTAGCACAGCTCTTTGCTATTATCCTTTTAAAACTTATTCACTTCCTCCTGCTTCTTTGTGTGTGTGTGTGTGGGTGGGTGGGTGGGTGGGGGTGGTGTATGTGTGTGTGTGGCTGTGTGTGTGTATTAGAGTTTTTCTGGAAGTAAATATTCAGAAAAGCTTTAAAATAGTAAAAATGACAGAAAACCTCCTAATGGTATGGTTGCTAAAATCAGGGTCATTTTAATTTTATTTAAGTTCTGGGGTACACCTGCAGGATGCGCAGGTTTGTTACATAGGTAAACATGTGCCATAGTGGTTTGCCGCACCCATTGGCCCATCACCTAACTATTAAACCTTGCATGCGTTAGCTATTTTCAAGTCAGGGTCATTTTTACATTAAATTTAAGTGTCCAACAATGTTTTTAAAGTTTTTTTCCACTGAATTTTAGATTAGAACATGCGCTTTGCATATACCTAAAAGAATTTTATGAGACAATAGAGTTCATATTAGAAAACATATTGAGCAATAGTGACTATCTTAGTCTGATCCTGCTGCTAAAACAAAATATCTTAGATTGGGTAATTTATAAACAACAGAAATTTATTTCTCACAGTTCTGGAGACTGCAAAGTCCAAGATCAAGACACTGGCAGATTTGGTGTCTGGGTAAGTTTCACTCTCTGCTTCATAAATGGCAGCTCTTGCTGCATTCTCCACATGGCAGATGAGGAAAGAAAGAACAAACAGATTTTCTTATGCCCTCTTACAAGCGCACAAATTCCACTCACGAGGGCCCAGCCTTCATGACTTAATCACCTCGTAAAGGCCCTGCCTCTTAATACTATGGCATCGGGGATTAAGTATCAACATGAATTTTGGAGGAATACAAACATTCAAAACATAGCAGTGATGTTTAAAAACATTAAACATCCACGGAAGTTTGTGTCTCTGTTTTCAACCTTCATGTTCAATCATCACAGTACTACATCCCTATAGAAAGAGGCTTCCTTGAGTAAAGACAGAAAGCTGTGCTACACCATTTCCATATGGCAAGGGGAGGCAGTGAGGTCCTATCATGGAAAAGGATCTATGGAAACGCTGGGGAGGGGATGGGGCTTGGTTTTGAACACTCTATTCTTTTTAGGCTTGAGCAGTTTGATATGAACACATATCATTTGAACACATTTTTGGAAGAGACTGTTTCCAAAGTGCCTACTCAGGGGACTTTGTCTAGCCTGATATACAAAGTTCTCCAGAATCAGGCCCCACCAGCCCTGACCTCACCTGAGAGAGGGCACAGCAGGATGGTTAGGAGTTTGGTCTCTCTGGTACATGGAAGAGGTCTTTTTGGATCTCCAGTTTGTTATTTATTAGTGTAGCAACATGGGCAATGTACTTAATTTCTCTTGCCCCACATTTCTTCTTCTTTAACAATATGTACAATAGGGCCAGGCACAGTGGATCACACCTGTAATCCCAGCACTTTGGGAGGCGGGTAGATCACGTGAGGTTAGGGGTTTGAGACCAGCCTGGCCAACATGGCAAAACCCTGTCTCCACTAAAAAAAAAAAAATATATATATATATATATATATACACACACAAAAATTAGCCAGGCATGGTGGCATGCGCCTGTAGTCCCAGCTACTCAGGAGTCTGAGGCAGGAGAATCACCTGAACCTGGGAGGTGAAAGTTGCAGTGAGCTAAGATCACACCATTACACTCCAGACTGGGCAACAGGGCAAGACTCCCTATAAAAAAAATGTGTATAATAGCAATAATTATTGCTTGCTGCCTTGTCATGAGAATCAAATGGGGAAATGAATATATGCCTGGCATTTAAGCATTTAAAAAATGTTCAATCAGTGTTGGCCATTATATTTAGTTCAAGCTTTAGTTTTATAATATAGTTTATGGTTTTTAATTTATTTTGTTTTCTTTTTAAAGTTAAAGTAATATATGTACATGGTTTAAAAAGTCAAATAGGTCTACAAATTTGTATGAAAAACAGTAGATTTCTGCCCCCATTCTTCTCCACCCCATTACTATCTCTCTCCAGAGGAAATCACTTCCTATTCATTTAACTTATACTTTTGGTATTTACCTCACCCTCTCTAAATCAGAGCTTCTCAAACAGTAAGGAACAAATAGGCTACAGATTTGGGGAGATGTTGGTCCCCTCTTCCCTGGAGGTGGTCAGGTGGAACCCAAGGTGGTATGAGTTCCCATCTGTTGCCTCTAGTCTCAATCAGCCTTTTGCATTTATTCCTGTGTGCCTTATATTTATGTGTGTGTGTGCCATGTCTTGAACAAGGCTAAGAAGAATTGATAAATACAATGCTACTTACAGATGTTTCAGTTTAGGCATTATCCATTGACCTCACACATGTGTCTGCACACACTTCTCATTTCTTCCGCCCCTCCAATATAGTTATCATAATTTTGGTTGTATACATTTTCAGTGTTTCCTCTATTATAACTAGGTAAATCATAAACTGTGTAGTAAATGATAGTTTCTTTTTCTTTTCTGAGCAATTTTCCTTTCCTCTGGAATGAATACTTGATTTTTTTCTTTCTTTAGTTTTCTCTGTACATATCACTAATCCAGCCCGAATTTTTCATGAACTGTCAAAATCTTCAAGTATTCTTTTAATTTTATATTCCAGAAGAAATCTTATCAAAATTCTTAACATGTGCTCCTAGTGGATCTGTCTTCTCTGCTTCATGCACAGCTATTGCCCTACAATCGCCTTTGTTACCTTAGGGACTTTCTTTTTCCCATGTTAGACTCCCTCTTGTTTTAGCCATGTCTTCTGTTTTGATCATCTCCTTGTTTTGCTAGAGCTCATCACTCAGTAGTTTCATAAGAAAGGAATAATGAAAAATAACATTTTTTAGACTATGGCATGTCTTAAAATGTCTTTGTTCTAGTACCACTCAATTGAAAGTTTGGTTGGGTATAGAATTTTATGTCACAGCTCATTTTCTCCCAGAATTTGAAGACTTTGATGCATTGTCTTATATCTTCTAGCTCTGTTATTGTGAAGTTCAACCCTATTTTTGATACCTCATCCTTTGTATGTGACTATTTATTTCTCTTTTTGTAGATGTGTATGGTCTTTTCTGCAATTTCATGTTGCTCTATCTTGGTATAATTCTGTTTTCATTCACTGTGCCAGATACTCGGCAACTGATGTGCTTCAATTCTGAATATATTTTAATGTAGTTTTCCACTGTGATTTCTTTCTTCTTCTTCTTGTTTAATCAATGCTGTCTTCCTGAAACTCCTGTTATTTGGATATTAAAAATACCTAACTGATTTTAAGTTTTCTTTGTGTTCTCTCCTATTTTTCATTGCCTAGACATCTGGTCCTGCTTTTTAGGGAATTTTCCCAATTTTATGTTGCAACCCTCTTTCTACTGAAGTTTTTATTTCTGCTCTCATATTTATTTCCAAGACTCTTTTTAAAATT
The DNA here is from genome assembly GCF_000001405.40 of Homo sapiens. Classification (NCBI taxonomy): domain Eukaryota; kingdom Metazoa; phylum Chordata; class Mammalia; order Primates; family Hominidae; genus Homo; species Homo sapiens. Next base: position 18,760,458 of record NC_000002.12, read on the forward strand.
GTCAGATTAATTGTTTTTGTAAAGGGCTTCGGTTCTTATTTTATGAATGTTGTGTATTAATAACTTTGACTTCCTTCTTGCATTTTTCCCGTATTATATCTGAGTGGCTTTTTTGTCCTTTTTTATTTGCATTTAGGTCTCTATTTTTCATGTTAGCATTTATTTGAATGATCTGGTAATTTTTTACAGTGATGCCCTTAAAGGCTGATGTGAAATTCTGTGTACTGTGGTAGAACTTGTCAGCCACAGTCTTCAATGTAGAGATGATTTTGATGGGCTCCTTTGTGGAAGAAGCCTCAATGCTGAGCCCTTAATGTCTGCCCGCTTGGACTATTCATTGCAAGTATAGTAGATGTGCTGCTGAAGTGAAAGCCAACTGGGTTGTTCAGATTCCAGTCTTTTCCTTGCAGGATATTAGTTTAATTTTCAGTGTTTTAGAGACCTAGCAGTGATTAGACTGGGACTGGGGTATTACGGTGAATTTCAGCACTTAGCATATAAAAGGTGCACATAATTTCTTTAATTTCAGCGAGATAATACCATCGTTTGAACCTGAGAAGAGAATCTGAGGAGGTGTTTCTTAAGCAAGCCTTCAGTGAATTATTCTCTTTTTAGCCCAACTCTCATTTTTACTCTTAGAGGCACCTGGTGCTGAAGAACCTCTGAATGTTGTGGGGATTTCTGCCATAAATTTGGTCACATTTTAGCTTTTCTTACTCCAAACTTGGAATTCATATTGCTCATGTCTTCTATGTCATTTAGCATAAGTCCAATTGCTCGACCAATTCTAAAGTTTTGTTGTTTTCTCTTCTTCTATTATTTTGTTTTTATGGTTTTATGCCTTAAAACATTTTTTTCCTTGTGATTTTCTTAGGATTTCACAAAAAAGCAAGACTATATGCATGTACATTTATTTTACTATCTTTACCGGGAAATCTCACTTAGAGTTTTCTCTTCCGACTTTTTTATTATTCTGTCCTCTCAGGTTGTAATGTCTTCCTTTTGACTTTTTCTCCCTTCACTGACATCTGCCCATAGCCGTGGTTCCATCCTCAAGCCATCTTTAATAACTCCAGACCACAGGACTACATTTTCTTTGCCTTTAAAGCATTTTGATTTCTCTCTGCCTAGTACCTGGATTTTCACATGCCACTGCTACTGCTGCTGCTACCATAGCTATTTCTAGTAATAACAATATAACTGAACACCAACATTTACTGAATGCTAAGTGCTATTCTAATTGCTTCACATGTGTTTTCTTACCTTTTCCTTACAACTCTTTCGCTTTGGTATTGGTATCATTCCATTTTACAGATGAGAAAATTAAGGCAATTGGAAATTAAATTGCTCCCACATCACAGAACTCATAACTGGTAAAAGCAGATTTTTAAAAATATGACTGTCTGATTCCAGTACCTGTGTTCTTAATTGTTCACAATAGTTATTAAAAGAAAATACTGTTATGCCTATTTCATAAATAAGATTTTGATCTAGAGAATTTATTATCTTTCCAAAATTTCTTTATGACTAGTAGGAGGAATAACCAGAGTTTTACGATAACATCTCCAGGACTCTATCCATTATACTTCCAGGATAAATTACGCCCTTTCCTAACTTGCAAAGTATTGTTTTGCTCTTTCAGTTTTCTTTACCAAATTGTTTTTTAACTGATTAAATATTTACTTCCAGGATATATTATGCCCTTTCCTAACTTGCAGAGTATTGTGTCGCTGTTTCAGTTTTCTTTACCAAATTGTGGGTTAACTGATTAAATATTTACCATATGCTCCATGCAAATGTAATATGTAGTGTTAAAAATACATTTTCAGCATTTCAGCATTGAATTACAAGTTGAAGCCACTTAATCCAACTGCCTTATTTAGCAGTTGCAGGTGATGCTCAAAGAAGCTGAGTAACTTATCCAAGCTTACAATGCTAATTACTAAAAAAACTGTGTTAAACCCAGTTGTCAAATGCTTTTATTTAATAAAATACTTCTCAAATGACTCATTGTTAGCAACTTAAGCAATATTTTTTTCTAGAAGGTTTGTTTTCCTGAAAATAACTTTATAGGATATATAGTTTTCTTAAAAGTAAAATTTCTGTATGTCAGATTTTCTTTTCCATAATAGAATAGACTTGTTTTCTGACAAATGTATTTTGGCCCCCTAAAGCACAATAAAGACTACACAACATAACAAACTCACAAATATGTATGTTATTTAAATATAAGTGTTTCTTTTCCTGCTAAAGCATATGTGACTCTGAAAAGAGATAGCATCAATACAGCCCTGCAACTAAAAATACCACAAATCAGAAACAACGTTCTTCTCTTCTTGATCCACTGAAGAGAGGCTGTGTTCTGTGTGCTGTCTGTTTCCTTAAACTCATTCTTGGGTTTTATCTCAGTTCCAAGGTAAATATTCTTTAAAAGTCCAGATCTCTTAGCTGTTCTGTTAAAAGGTTTATCTTGTGCATGTATTGCTTGTTTATTTAGCAACCCTATGAGTCTATTGAAGTGTTGGTTTAGTGGTCTTTCTAAATTACTTATGGTGAGAGCCAACTAATCTTTGGTCACAGTGCATTTCAGGCTCTGGAAATCACTATGCTGATTGCTTATATTTCCAATTGGAAATTTCTACAAGGTGCTCAAGCTTACATTTACGTTATATCTTCAAACACCTTTGTACAAAGAGAAATGAGTGGATCTTATTTCCAAAGGAAAGTTTGGAAAACCAATGTGCCTGGGATAAGGGAAAGAATTAATAACTTCCTTTTTCATACTTTCTTTTCTGTCCTTTTAAAAAATTATTATTTGTTGAGGTGAAAGTAGGGAAGACAGGGGCTTTAATCAAGCACTCGTAAGAAACTGGAAAAGTAATAAAGACAGGAGCAAAATAAGAAAAGTCACAGAAAATATGTCTTGTAAGAAATGTCAACAAAACAGGGGAAATGCAATCTTTGGCTCCTCATCCTATCTTAAGTCTTGGCAGTTTTACAATTCAGGGCAAATGACCAGCATACTCTGAGCTATACTTCTCTAGTTAACAGAAGGGCCTCAGTACTTTTAAGAAAAGGGAGTGTTCAACTTCATCTTTGAGGGCAAAGATTAGAATCATAGAATGTTAGCACTCAAAAGGAATTCATAGATCATCTGCTTTCTAATCCAATCTCTTTGTTTCACAGCTGAGGTCGCTCTGAGGCCAAGAGAAAGGATATAAGTCTTCTGCAGTCATACAGTCAGTTAATGGCAGGCATTGATTAAAATTCATCAAAATCTTGGTTCTCAGACTACAATGTCAGCAATCATGTATTAAAATGCAATTTAAAAAAATCCAAGCTACTTAACTTGGCTTACCTCATCTCCTGTCACTCTCCTTGTTATTCCCTCTGTTCCTGAAACATTGGTCTTCTTCTTGATCCTGGGACACACCAAGACGTCTCCTATATTCAGATATATGCAGTGGCTATTCTCTCAGTCTGGAGGGATGCCTTCTGTCCCTGTCTATGTTACCTAATTATAGGTGTTTCTTGTCAGTTAGATCTCAGTCTCAGCCTAAATGCCATCTTCTCTGTGAGCTCCTCCTTGACTAGGCAATGCTAACATGATGCTCAGGGTCTCTTTATCACATCATCGTACTTCTTTTCTTAGCATAACATTTACCACAATCCATTTTTTGTTGTTACTATTCCCTAGTGCAAGTAAGCCCCATGAGTATATTAATCTTGTTTGTTGATTGTGTTCTTTAATGCCTGGGGCACGACAAACACATAGTAGATGTATAATGAATACATATTAAAGAAATATAGTTGACCCTTGAGCAATATGGGTTTGAACTGCCTGGGTCCACTTACATGTGGCTTTTCTTTTGTCTCTGCTGCTTGTGAGACAACAGGAGCAACTTTCCTCTTTCTCCTTCTCCTCAGCCTATTCGATGTGAAGACTATGGAGATGAAGAATTTTATAATGATCCACATACAGTTTATAAATAGTAAATATATTATATCTTTCTTATGATTTTCTTAATAGCATTTTCTTTTCTCTAGCTTACTTTGTTTAAGAATGCAATATATAACATGTAAAATATGCGTTAATCTACTATTGGTGTTATCACTAAGGCTTCTGGTCAACAGTAGGCTATTAGTAGTTAAGTTTTTGGAGAGTCAAAAGTTATACATGGATTTTCAACAGCCCAGGGAGGTTCGTGCCCCTTTTCCCAGTGTTGCTCAAAGGTCAACTATACATACATAAATACATAAATAAAATAGTTGGAAATATTGAAAAAGATATCATCTATAGTAGACATTAGTTTTAAACACACCAACTTCACCATGCTCTGTGCTTTATTTTGATATTAAAACTTACTAAATTTGTGTATTTCAAAATAATATATAATACATAAATTTATATATGCAAATTCATGCATATATAAACACATAATCTTCAATGATTGGACCCTCTCTACATAACCAAATACTGACATAAAAAAGGAAGAGTGTTGCACATTTTATGACTTTTATTGCATAGAAAATATTTTTTTCTGAGAGTTTTTGAATTCTTTAAGAATTCTGGCACTTTCTAAATGCAAGTGTTTGGTGGTGTTATGAACAGAACAGTTTGATGACTATGGGAGGTTGAGAGAGTGATTATGTCTACTCTTCATCAATAGCTTCACACTTGAGGCAGCCTGGAGACATAGGAGGCTCTAATGAGGATAATACTCACCATCTTCAAGTTGCTAAACAGTCTAAGATGCTGATTGTCTTTTTGCCTGAAACTTCCTTGATGTGGGAGAGATGTTTACATTTCTTGACGTCCTGCCTTTAACTTGACAGGTTTAGGACAGCCTGGGTGGGAATAGAAACACACTGGAAGGAGTGGTAAAAACCCATCTTCGCTATTCCTGCCTCTCACTGTTCATCCGAGCCCTGATGAGACACCTATAATTAGGCAACATAGACAGGGACAGAAGGCATCCCTCCAGACTGAGAGAATAGCCACTGCATATATCTGAATACAGGAGACGTCTTGGTGTGTCCCAGGATCAAGAAGAAGACCAATGTTTCAGGAACAGAGGGAATAACAAGGAGAGTGACAGGAGATGAGGTCAGCCAAGTTAAGTAGCTTGGATTTTTTTAAATTGCATTTTAATACATGATTGCTGACATTGTAGTCTGAGAACCAAGATTTTGGTGAATTTTAATCAATGCCTGCCATTAACTGACTGTATGACTGCAGAATACTTTAATTTGAGAATTGTAAAGACACTGTTAGTTGCATAAGTACAACTTCTTGTCAGTTACTCAGTTTTACATATTAAATATCTAATTTTGTTCTAACCTGAATACCTTATACTTGGTCTTAAATGTGGAGAACTAGAGAACAGAGGAGACTGACACATGAAAGTCAAAAAGAAGGAGGGTCTGTCTTGCTTTATCTATTGGGAATCTTGTTTTGAAAGAAAGAGAGAGAGTGGGCAGGACCCCTGTCCTGGAAAGAACAAATGAATTATTTTGCTCATAGAGGGTCATGAAAAGATTAAAATTATAAATCTCTAAGTGACAGTCACATTCCTAGCTGTCAAGCTGTCGTTGGGGCAAAATTTTCTTTACCCCATGTTACCAAAATGCTGTTTTCTCCCCAGCACTAGAGAGGTACTCACTAAATCATGACCTACTGACAAGAAACCTATTAGTTCCATAAAGAGAATGATGTACTCTCCCCATAGCACCACTGTCTCCATTGGGATCCAGCTGGAGTCAGACTAATATTTCAGCATTATTTCTATAAACAGAAGGGACACGTAGAGCCAGATGCTTGCTTTTCTTTTTAAGAAGGATAAATGCTTAACACCAAAATCACAAGCAACAAAATAAAAAAGAGATATGTTGAATTTCATCAAAGTTAAAAATGTTGTGTTTCAAAATACATCAAGAACATGAAAAGATATCCACAAAACTGGAAAAAAAATTTTTGTGGATCACATATCTAATAAGAGACTTATACCTGGAATATAAAAAGATCACTCAGAACTCAATAGTAAAAAAGAAAACCAGATAAACATGAGCAAATGATCTGAATAGATATTTCTCCAAATAAGATATAAAAATGATCCATAAGCACAGGAGAAGAGGCTTCATATCATTGATTCCTGACTTCATGTTCTTACTGCTCCTGATCTAAGCAACTGCTAATCTGTTTTCTGTCTCTACAAATTTTTCTATTCTGATTATATTATATAAATGGAATCAAACAATATGTTTTTTGTCTGACTAGTTTATTTCATTTATTCATCCATGTTGTACTATGTAAAAATATTTTATTTTATGGTCAAACAATATTCCTTTGTATGGATATATCTCATTTTCTTTATCCATTCATCAGTTGAGGGACCTTTGGGTTGTTTCCACTCTTTAGCTAATATAAGTAAAGTTGCTATGAACATTCATATACAAGTTTTTATGTAGTTGTATGTTTTCATTTGTCCTGGATATATACCTAAAAGTAGAATTTCTGGGTCATATGATAACTTTATGTTTAACTTGCTAGGGCCAAACTCTTTATCAACATGGCTCAAACATTTTACATTCTTGTCGGCAATGTAGGAGGGCTCCATTTTTTCCACATCATTGTCAATACTTGTCATCATCTGGCTTTTTTATTATACCCATCCAAGTGGATGGGAAGTGATATCCCATTACAGTTTTGATTTGTATTTACCCAATAACTAATGATGTTGGGCATCTTTTCATAAGCTTATTGGCCATTTCTATATTGTCTTTGGAGAATTTTCCATTCAAATTCTTTCCCATTTAAAAAATATGTTATCTGTCTTTTTATAAATGAGTTTTAAGACATTTTTGTATATTCTGAATACAAATTCATTGTCATATATAAGATTTGAAAATATCTTCTCCTATTCTGTGGGTTGTCTTTTCATTTTCTTTATGACATAGTTTGCACTGTAAAGATTTTAAATTTATGTAGCCCAATTTGTCTATATTTTCATTGTCACTTTTGCTGTGGTTTCATATTTAAGAAATCTTTCCTTAACCCAAGTTCACATAGAATCATTTCCTTTATTATAATAATTTTATAGTTGTAACTGATACTTAGGTATATAATTTATTTTGGGCTGGTTTATATATGATTTGAGGTTGGGGTCCAAATTATTGATATGACTGGATTTACATGTGCCATTTTGCTTTTTCCTCCTATATGTAATGTAACATTTTAATTGCTTTAGTGATGTTTAATTATATTTTTTAGTTATTTTCTTAGCGATTAATCTCAGGTTTACCATATGCATCTTAACTTCTTAGATTCTGTACTCTAGTACAGCACCACTTTCTCCCTACCTTTTAAAACTTTTACTTTCATGTATCTCGTGTTGATACATATTATAAATCTAAAATATATTGTTATAGTTATTACTATTATATCCTTTAAATAATCTGAGCAAAGAAAGGATAGCAAATATATATGTATAATGTTTGTTAAATTGACTATCTTATCAACCCTTCCTGGTTCTTTGCAGTTTTTTCTGTGGGTTTGAGTTACCAACTGTTGTCATTTTTGTACGTCAATATAACTAATTATTGTCACATAAGTACATTTCTATGTATTTTGGCCCCAATGATATAAATTATTTACATGTTGACTTATGCTTTTTAAATCAGTCAGGAGAAGAAAGGAGAAGAAATATGCAATTATACTATTTTTTTTTTACAAAACTATCACTACTAATATTTCTTTTTCATATGTATTAAAATTACCAACTGGTATCTCCTGCTTTTAGCCTGAAGAACTTCTTTTAGTATTTTACATATTAAAAGTCTGCTAGCAAAAAATTCGTTCAATTTTTGTTTACCTGGGAATATCTTTATTTTGTCTTCGTTTTTCAATGATAGTTTTACTGAATATAAGATTCTTGGTTGACATTTTAACTTTCAACATTTTTCCCCCTACCTTCTGGCTACTTTGTTTCTGATATTTTAGCTATTAATCTTATTGTGGTTCCCTTATATGTACTAAGCCCTTTTTTGTTCTTGCCACTTTCAATATTTTCTCTTGCTTTGCTTTCAACTTCTGTTATGATGTGTCTGGGTGGATCTTCAATATAGTGGTATTTCTACCCAGAGAGGAAGTAGACCGTAAAGGAAAAGAGCTCTAGAGCTTGTCATGTTAGTCATTGTACTGAAGATGGGAATGGGATGCATTTTTTTCCTGAAGTTCCCCAACTCTACAAGTAAGTATAAAGTAGGTGAATGAGTAGGAAGATCATAGTCTCCTGTACTAGCTCCTCCTGATGTAGAACTTTTATCCTATGAACTAACTGAGACAAGGGCATTTGGGGGCCCATTATTCTTGGCCTCCTGGTCCTGGAGTAGCGTTTCTACCACAGAGATCTTGGGGAATTAGAAATGCCAGCATCCTTCCCCTCCTGGGGTGAAACCACAGACCAGTACTTATCGAAGCCCTGAGCTATGGGGCTTCTATACTACCAAGCTGGTGTGTGTTTGGCAGGGCGGGGCAATAATGGTGTGGATTGTAGCTAAATGCCACAGACTCTCCATATTCTTACTGAAAGTTGGTACAATTTCTTGCTTGAATGCCTCTCCATTTCCTGTATGGCCTTGGAACAATTTCTGGAGACTTTCAATATATAGTTTTTAAATTTCCACCAGTTAATTTTTTTTTCTGGAAGACAGGTTCATTGAGCTCCCTAACTGTATTCTCTCTGTCCTGAGAGACCTAATTTTAAAGTTAAAGCTAAATGGGGGAAATCACTTCTGTGTGCTTTTATATTTTTTTATTTCTCTTTTACTCACCTACTTTCATAGGCTCCCCACTGCCTGAGTCTACATTATTTATTCTAAGAGCCAAGGCCCTGCATAATTTGGTCTGTGAATTCTTTCCTAGTATCTGCAATATTTATATTTCATAACACCTTCACTTCATGCAAGTTGGTTCACTTATCTTCTGTTATTGTTCATATATTTTAGTCTTTGTTTATAACCTCTGTCTTTTTGGCCAAAGTATCCAAATTTGTCATTCATGGCCAATTCCTGATGGTCAGAGACCAGGAAAGTTAATAAGATTTCCCATTCACCGGAGCATCAGCACCATTTAAACCAGACTGTTCTGTGCTGGTCTTTAATATGTGCATGCCATATGTATCCAGCTTAGTTTTAAGCACCTCAATTAGAAAGTGTTTCTCATTCCATTTTGGCCTTAGAACACCTAGCCCAGGAATGATCGTACAGCAGGTATTAAATAATATTGTGGAGTGAATTCTTTGTACACGTTCACTTCCAGCTTAGAGATACTCCTTCTCTTCAGAGATACAAGCACAGTACTGATGAATTTCTACTTAAGTTTTAAGTACAAAAGGATTATGAGCTTTGCTCATTTTATGGTTCTTGACATAAAATGTATCTTGAATTTCACAGTGTGTGAATGTTCCCAGTTTTAGTTGCCTAAAACAAATTCCATGTTGGTGTAATTTTTCTAAAGGCCCAAGGAGTAAGATTATCAAGGAAAATATTCCTTGTCCTACAAAGTCATAAAATTCAATAAATGTTTATAAATATTCGAAACCAGGCATCACAGGGGATGTCATGTATTTACAAATTCAATCAGCAAAAACACCAAGTTTAGGACCTTCTAATCCAATGGAGAAAATTGTAGTAAGAAATAAGCAAAATCAGCACAAGTATAAGGCAAACCGTATCACTGGTACAATGTATCGTGGGTCCATGCAGTCCCTCAGTTGAGGAAGATGCTCATTGAGGAGATGGCACTTTTTATCCTCTGGGGCCTTAAAGAATAGACAAGCTTTTGGGAGATGAAAATAATAACCTGTAGCTTTCAAGCAAAAGGAAGAACAAAGGCCCACAGGGGAAATATAAGTTATTTTTTTTAAATTATGAGCATCCCATTATGTTTGTATCATAGGGTCCATGATAAGATACAGCAGGAAACCAGAATGGACATTTAAGTTGAACCAGATCCTGAAGAATCTTAAGTTGGCAAGTTGATAAGTTTTCAGTTTATGTCATTCTCACCATTAGGATACGATTGAATTACTGAATATTATAGAATCAGAGAGTGGCTGATTAGATCTAGATCTGTGCTGTTCAATATGGTAGCCACTAATCACATGTAGTTTCATTTGTAATTAAATACATTAAAATAAAATTAAAATTCAGTTCTTCAGTTACACCAGTTGCAATTTGAAATAACTACGTTTCAAGTGTTCAATGTGTGCCTTGAACCTCATATTAGTACAGAACATTTCTATCAGTGCAGTAATTTCTATCTTTTTTTTTTTTTTTTTTTTTTTGAGATGGAGTCTCGCTCTGCCACCCAGGCTGGAGTGCAGTGGCGCAATCTCGGCTCAATGCAAGCTCTGCCTTCCAGGTTCACACCATTCTCCTGCCTCAGCCTCCCAAGTAACTGGGACTACAGGCGCCCACCACCACATCCGGCTGATTTTTTGTATTTTTAGTAGAGACGGGGTTTCACCGTGTTAGCCAGGATGGTCTCAATCTCCTGACCTCATGATCCACCTGCCTCGGCCTCCCAAAGTGCTGGGATTACAGGCATGAGACACCGCGCCCGGCCTCAGTGCAGTAATTTCTATTGGACAACATTGTACTAGATTTTAGTATCTGATACGAGCATAAGGAAGGGTTGATGGTGTTTGAGAAACAGATGGGAGGATGGGAAAGAAGCAGTGTAACCCGTAGATTGTTCTCAAAGCAGTCCAGGTGAAATTAAGGCCTCAACCAGTGATGGCAACACAGGGAGAGCTGAGCAGACGACTGGGATACACATTTTGAATAGTGACAAAAAGATTCTATGACTAAATAATTACCTAGTAAGCATGAAGTAAGGAAGATAGAGAAACTAAAACAGAAGGTTGGCACACTCTTAGTGACTAGGTGAACTGGAATGCCATTCACAGAGATAAGACATACAACAGGAAGAGTTAGTTGACACAGGAAATAATGGTACTATATAGCAGTGTTAACTTTGGGTTCTGTATGGTAGAGACAGGTAGATACTTCCAGAAGAGTGGAAAGAATATTCTGGGAATTGTGACAGAAGGAAAGACTGATATCCAGTATTTCTTACATAGAAGTAATGGCTAAAACAATAAAGAAAGGAGAATAGAGTCAAAGAAAACACCTAGGGGTGTTTCACTATGTTTATTTCCCCTTTATTCAAATCTTGATTAAATAAATCTATGTCAAGATCGCAAAGTTTACTGGATACCGTCAAATGATTTGTGATATCAAAGTTTTCTTGCATGATACGATTGACTGAACTTGACTGAAGAAATGGAGTCAGAGATGACCCCAGGAAATGGAGCAGCATACGTGGCATAATCAATCTTTTAAGATCAAAATATAACTATTGAAATAACAACACATGTCATTACTCATGGATTTCTAACTGCTAACTTTTATATCTATATATCCTTAAAGGATGTTATTCCCTTAATTCATTTAGCAAGTATTTACTGATTATTTACAAAATGAACACATTTGGGGTTTACAAAGACTTCCACAACTCAGATCCATGTTCACAAGGATCTTACATTTCAGTGACAGGACACACATGAACACAAATAATCACAATACAGTGTGATCAGTGCTAGAGAAATATAAGTGTAGAAAAGCATTAAATGCCATTTGGGCATGCAGGAAAGAAACATCCTATCTGGTGGAGTCAGAAAAAGTTTCTCAGAGAAGGTGATTTCTGAAGTAGAAGTTAAAGAATGAAGAGAGGCTGGGCGCGGTGGCTCACGCCTGTAATCCCAGCACTTTGGGAGGCTGAGGTGTGGGTGGGTAGATCATGAGGTCAGAAATTCGAGACCAGCTGGGCCAATAAGGTGACACCCAGTCTCTACTGAAAATACAAAAATTAGCCAGGCATGGTGGCACGCACCTGTAATCCGAGCTACTCAGGAGGCTGAGGCAGAAGTATTGCTTGAACCCAAGAAGTGGAGGTTGCAGTGAGCCTAGATCACACCACTGCACTCCAGCCTGGGCAATAGAGGGAGACTCCATCTCAAAATAAAGAATGAAGAGAAGCACACATGCTGAGACACCAGTGCAGAAGGCCTTGGTTCACTCATAACACAGAGGCCAGGAAAGACAGCCATATTCTGATCACCCTTTAATGTCATTCTAAGGAGTTTGGTTTATTTTAAAGGGAATAAAATAAAGGAGAATTATTCAAGGACTTAAAGATATGAGATTATGTTGTCAGAGTCTCATTTTAGAAAGATACCTAGTAGCAGTGGGGCAGGTAGATGGTAGAGAGGTGATATTGGAGGGAACACCACTTAAAAACCTGCGGGTAAATGCTACACTTGAAGGGGACTAGTAAGAATTTGAGTCTAGAGATATTTAGGGGTTAATTAATACACTCAGTATTTATAAGACTATAGAGATAAGTTAGAAGGAGACTGTGGGATGATTCCGTAGTGGCTTTGGAGCCTAGGCAAAAAGAGGTACCATTGAAGCAAAACATTCTGGGAGAAGAAGTAGGTGTATCATGAAGATGAGTTTCAGCTTGGTAATGCTGAGTTTGAGGTTCCTGTGGGAACCTCAGTTTGAGATCACGCAGGGAGACATGTGAACTCAGAGATAGGGCTCAAATATTGTTTGAATATTATCTTTTATCTGTACTGAATGAAATATTTATTCATTCTCTATACATTGTTCATTTAGGGTTCCTTATTTTTTTCAATTTCATGAATAATGTCATGGCCTTAAGATCTGATGCTGCCAATGGGAGGTAAAATGACATTTTTGGAGATGCCACAAAGTGGGAATGGATATGGAACTTTGTAGCACTTCAGGTTTCCATAACTTGAATCTTACATACTTTCTCATTCTGGAACTTCCGTGAGAGATATTTTACTAAACGCTTTCATCTTATAAAACATTCTCTCTTGTCTTTCTCTTTTCCTCTGTCCTTTCCTCCCTTCCTTCCTCATGACCCTCACTTTTCTCTTTATTCAGATCCTTTTCTGTTTGGACCTGCTTGAAAGCTAAATTTCATTCCTGGACATATTCCTAAACCTCCTATTACTCTACCACCTCAACCAGTGCATGACAGCCCTTAGAAAACCAGCAATTTAGAGGTAGATGGAAACTTAGTGAATATCCTGAGTGAGGCCCTGATTTTGATGAGTTAAAAACTGAAGTTCAAAGAGGAAGGGATTTGTACCAAGTTACATCACTAGACAGTGACTTGCATGCATATTTGATTATCTAAATCATTTTAAGTTCAATTCTTTTGGAAGTGTTTTCTATTTGTAGTATAAATATATATCACAAGTTTTTAATACTTGATACATGGGCTGGGCACCTGTAATCTCAGCACTTTGGGAGGATCACAGCGTCAGGAGATCTCGGGCGGATCATGAGGTCAGTAGATCAAGAACATCCTGACCAACACGGTGAAACCCCGTCTCTACTAAAAATACAAAAATTAGCCAGGTATGGCAGCGCAAACCTGTAGTCCCAGCTACTCAGGAGGCTGAGGCAGGAGAATTGCTTGAACCCGGGAGGTGGAGGCTGCAGTGAGCAGAGATTGCACCACTGCACTCCAGCCTGGGTGACAGAACAAGACTCCATCTCAAAAAAAAAAAAAAAAAGAAAAACTTGAAACACGGATTCTTGGTTGTAAATGAATTTACATTGCACATGAAGAAACATTCTGAGACTTGTTTTAAAATGTTTTCTCAGCCAGGCACGGTGGCTCACGCCTGTAATCTCAGCACTTTGGGAGGCTGAGGTGGGCGGATCACCTGAAGTTGGGAGTTCAAGACCAGCCTGATGAACATGGAGAAACCTTGTTTCTACTAAAAATACAAAATCAGCTGGGCATGGTGGAACATGCCTGTAATCCGACCTACTCAGGAGGCTGGCCTGAGGCAGTTCGAGAATCGCTTGAATCCAGGAGGTGGAGGTTGCAGTGAGCCGAGATGGTGCCATTGCACTCCAGCCTGGGCAACAAGAGTGAAACTCTGTCTCAGAAAAAAAAAAAAAAAAATGTTTCTCTAGCCTATTTAAACATTATCATGCTTGTGTATTCAATCAAAGAAATTGCATTTAGATTTCCTGATTAGTTGTTTTTTACAGTTTGTTGCATAAATGTAATGTTTTTCATATTTGACTGGTGGTATATTTAATCCATTTGAAAAAGTACTGATTTGCTAAATTATAAATTTAGCTTTATAAATGCTGCCAATTAATTAAAACACATTCTTTCTGATCATCAAATTAATACATATTTTTATATAACATTTGAAAATATTGAAAATTAGGTAGAAGATTTCAAAAGTCACCCCGGGCTTTATTATAATGATATAACATATAGTAGTTTACTGTAGGTCTCCATTTATATTTTCTCTGCATGTTCATGTGACCATTCTCTTGTAAACCAAAAATAAAATTCTAAGGCCTCCAGCCATCTAAGTAGACCCCTCCTTTTGGCCAAGGTGATTCAGAAGTTAACCTGAAAACCTAGTTCAGGCCATGATGCTAAGGGAGAGCTGGAAATGCCTCATTATCCCCTTCTCCCTTTTAGGATTACTGATAGAACAAGCTCTTTAAGTCTGATAAGAAATATTTATAATCTAGTCTCTCTGAAGCCTGCTACCTGGAGGCTTGATGTGCATGATAAAACCTTGGATTCTACAACCCCCTATCATAACACAGACATTCCTTTCTATTGATAATAGCTCTTCCAAATAATTGCCAATCAAAAAATCTTTAAAGCTACCTATAACCTGAAAGTGCCCCCCACCTGTTACCACCCTGCTTCATGTTGCCCTGCCTTCCTGGACTGGACCAATGCTAACCAATGTATATCTTACATATATTGATTGATGTCTCATGTCTCTAACATGTATAAAAGTGGGCTACACCCAAACCACCTTGGGCACATGTTCTCAGGATCACATGAGGGCTGTGTCATGGGTCATTGGTCACTCACATTTGGCTCAGAATAAATCTCTTCAAATATTTTACAGTTTGACTCTTTTCATTGGCACACTAAGACAATTTTATTCTTTTTTTCTAACCTAACATTTATGTTTCTATGATTTTTATCCTGATTTTAATAATTTTAATGGCTTGGTAATATTTCATCACATTTCTATACCTGATGTATTAATCTTTCAATGTCCTTTTTTGGACATTTAGGTTATTTTCTATTATTAATATTATAATGCTATAAAGAATTTTGTTGGGTGTCAAGTTTTGTCAAATTTTGGATATTGTTGCCTTGTAATAGATGTCCAAACATAGAAGCATTGGGTGAGAGGGACTAAATCTTTGTGTATGAGAGTGATGCTGTTGACCTGGGGTCAGCACCATATACATGCTATATATGACTTCTTAACAGTTTTAGTGAATATGGTCTGAACAGTCTCACTCTTGGGCTCCTCTGTGACCAGTAGAATACAGTTTGAGACAGTTGAGATAAGGGTACAGTTGGTGTCTGAGGAAGCCAACATTTTGCCTTGTTCAAGCTAACTTGCCCAGATGGGCCATAAACTTTGACTGTATTAGCACTGGAGTTACAATAATTAAGCTAATGAGTTCAATTGTCTATACTCCCAGAGTGTAGACTTCATAAATATATATTACAGTTACTCGGTCTACCTGGACATTTTTAGGATTATAAAATTTTGTAGTAGAAAAGTACCCTCAGAGACATTCTATCTAACTCCTACATTCTACAAACAAGATAATGTTAAAGAGGGAGAGAGGAATTTTGAAACAGTTCAGAGAGAGTCACAGCTGAAATTTAAGCCTCTTTATTCCCAGGTAAGAGATTTTAACTTAGAAACTAGGTAAGAATGAATAGTAATATCATTGAATGGGATTTCATTGAACCCTAGTGGTCTTTACTCCATTAAGAAACTTATCTGCCTCCAATTTCATTGATTCTTAGATACAGGTTAATATGGGTGAAGATAGATCTTGACTTCAGATTATTTGAGAAGCAAAGATACTAGAACATAATTTCTTCTATAATGTTATCTCTTTATTCAATTCCCAGAATTTGATATTCATAGAGGCACAAATTACAGGATAGTGTAATATTTCCCGTTACAGGAATGCAATATGTACAAGCCACAGTACTCACAGAGAAGGATGATGATGCAGATACAGACACAGAAGTTTTTGCCCAAAAGTAACTCTTAAGCTGGATCTTGAGGAAGAGAAGTAATTTGCCTTATAGACAGGGCAGTAAATAAAGGAAGAGTCTATGGAGAAGTGTGGAGATGTGACACTCAGCTGCATTCATTGTACTGTAAGGGGTGAATATGGCTGAGAGGATGACAGTGAGGCAGCTACAAAAAAGATGGTTAGGAAGCCAGGTCCCTAAGGACTGCAGGCTCAGAAGGGGTTCAGACTTTATTTGATGGGGAATGATAAGCCAGTAAATATTTCTAACCAGGGAACAAAAATCAATTTGCATATAGAATTGTAAAAGGTAGTTAAAATTGTTTAAGTTAACTTGCCACTGAGCAAACTGAATGTTTTACATCTCAATACAGTATTGAGTTGACATTTGCTATGGCTTCATTAATCAAGGGGGAGTTGACTGAGGTCATATTCAGTGATGTGTAATTCACTCTTTCTTTCATTTCTATGAACAGTAATATTTTTAGAAATTATAGCCCATTGTTTCATGAATGAAGTAGCCACAAGAGCTGCTAAAAGTAGTGCTTTAGTGAAATCCTTCTCTAGATGATCTTATGTCTGACCTTCTGTACTTTATCTTCCAAAGATCAGCTTGTGGTGTTAATTATGGGGTAAGTAAGCAGTTACTTCCTACAGCAAATCAGCCAAAGTCCAGGTTTGCTCTGGAGGTCCCAGGGATCAGAGCTCTGTGTTTCTTCAGGTTTCAATTTACCAGCCTCAAACCACTTAAAAGCAGGAGGAGGAGAGGCTGGGGAGTGATCGGTTTACAAGTGACCTGGGAGTTCACAGCTTTCATCCCTCCAAATCACAGTCCATATAATAGGCCTTGTGCAGATACAATTGGGACAAATTGACTCAGGCATCTTGCTTTCAGAAATGAAAACCTTTCTTCTCCCTTATCGGTGTCCCTATGTCTGAATTGTTGGAATCAAGCATTTGATGGAGGATGGTAGTTGTTGTAAGGTCAAATAGGGGATGTAAGTCCTGAATAAGAGGATAGGCTGTTAAGTGGCCCCCAGCTGTGTTAATTGGCTTAATAGGACTCTAGCTAGTTTAGGGACTTAAAAGTCAAGCCAGAGAAACAAAGCCTAACAAGGCTCCCTCTTTTTAGGCCAGTGAGAGATTCAACTAGAACAATTAACAGCTGGCACATCTTCAAACCAGGTTGCTGTTGTACCAAACATTTTTAGATATATCCTGTTAGAGATGCCTTCAGAATTTTTAAAATGTTTTCAAAAAGGGCAATATTTTCAACTTGGAGCTTGAAGTTGGCTTTCAGAGGCACTTTGAGTCCCGAGGAACCCAGGTTAGTGGGTACGATGATAATCATTGCCAGATAATCATTCTCTGCAAAAAGAAACACAATTTAAAAAGAAACACAATTTAAAAAGAGAGAGAGAGAATTCAGATTTATCTGAATGATTTGCAAGCAAGCTAGTTTTCATGACACTTTCCAAAGTAGAATAAACGTAGAATCTGAGAGGGATTGCTTTTTACATTAATTTAGAAATAGAAGGCTTATTTATTAGGAATTCAGTAGTCTTGCTTTAAAGTCGTATATCCTACAAACGATTTGCGCAAAACATCCTTAACACGTCTTTACCATCTGTACAGGCACTTCATAAAGTGACAAGTATTGTGAGGCCATTGCACTATCAAATTATGGCATGCTAGACGTATTAGAGATGAGTAGATGATCTAGTGACCGTATTTTCATGGTTCAATGCATTAATACTGAGAAAAATCACCACCATTAGTCCTTATCATTTACTGATTAATGGTAATTATTTTCCAATTCATTCTATTACTGGGATGAGCTTTCTGAAATTCAGTTCTAAACTTGACACGTTCCTATCTAAAACCTTTCAGTGGCTCCCTAGTGCCCCACAGAATATGCTTCTGTCTGCCATTTTCAAAGACTAGAATAATCTGCCCTGAATTAGTCTATCCAACATCCCCCAGTGAATGGTCCCTCCCCCAATTATGGCCCCTCATGGGCCATAACAGTAACAACCATCAGTAACTTATTTATCATTAGCAGCTTAGAAGCTGTGTTCTCTTGTTTTTTACTCACAGCAAGTCTGTAATATCAATGTAATTACTATTATTGTTGCTGTTTTAATGATAAAATGGGATTTAAGCAGGGTATAAAGTACATCTACTGTCTTCATCAAGCCCCCATGAAAATGAATATATATATGCGAGAAAGTATTTTCTTCTGATAATCCTAATTTATCCAAATGTTGAAATGGCTAGTTAAATGCATTTTGTTTTAAGATTAGTATTGTTACGTATTCTTTAAGCATGTGATACTGTACTACACTGCTTGGTGTAGTGACTAGTACTCAAACTATGAAAGCTATTATGATTATTTGTATACTTGAAAATGATTTTTTTTCTTTTGCTACACGAACATACTCCAAAGAATATTCTTCTATTATTTGATGTCAAGTACTACTTTAGCTCCATACTTTTCTCTTCAAGTTTATGATGAGAGAGATCTTTATTAACATCAGAAGACTGATACTTCCCTCAGAGGCTTTTGTGGTTTCACACCTGTTTACATATGATGGAAAATAAATATTACATTTATAGAAACTATGTTCGAGGAAATTATCTGAATTTTTCTAACTACTTCTATAGGAAGAGGGTTAGAGTAAAACCTATGAATAGACCTTTCCAGTCCTAAGGGTCTAAGAATTTTTCCCCATTCAATATTCACTAAATGCAGCATTAAGAACATAATCTTCTTTATGCTACTATCACTCTTCAACTTTCACATCTACAAAGAAATATATAAATTTTCTTTAAGTACCAAATGTTTTAGCTTAAGCCACATTTTAAACTAAGGCATTTATTATAAATTTCACTTATAATTATTAGTTTAGAGAATTTGTCTGTATTTAGGCATAGTCAATAAATATCAAATATGAAAAGGAGTGTATACTTGAAAGTATACTAGGACAGAAAATATAACTCTGGATTACAAAAATCACTTCAAGGAAAATATGTCTTGTAGGAAAATGAATCCATTGAAAACGAGCTACTGTAATTGTTCACAATAGTTATTATGTTTTACTATAAAAAGTAACTCAGCATGAGGCAGGAGGATGGCATGAACCTGGGAGGTGGAGCTTGCAGTGAGCGGAGATTGCACCACTGCACTCCAGCCTGGGCGACAGAGCAAGACTCCGTGTCAAAAAAAAAAAAAAAAAAAGTAACTCAGCATTTTTGGTAGTGTTACAATACTGTTGATAATTTGATAAATATTTTCAGAGGATTTTTTAGGCATTATATTTTGGGAGTATACCTCCCTATTGATGCATGTCACTATGTTAAATCTCTAAAATTATCAGAAACTGCCCAGTTGCCCATTTAGTCAAATGATATATAATATTATAAATATAACTTTTACGTATAATTTTTTCAAGATATATACAGATGTTTAATTTTTAACTAGCTAATAATATGTCACTTATTAGCAATTTAGTATTTTTATGTGCTTTTTTTATCATATAGTATGACTTTTGCACATTACTTGGCAAATATATTCTACATTTCACATTTCTAATAATCATTACACATTAAACAATTGTCTAAGGAATCTTTACTAGAGAATCATGGAGAATAGAAACTTCCTGCAAGTGACTTGGCATTTTCTAAGATTTTTTTCTTCCTTCCCCTCCTCTCCTTCCTTCCTTCTTTCATTCTTACTGTTTTTAGTAAAGTCACTTGACCACATACCTTCTGTTAGATCATAGTTTATTTCATTGTATTTAACATATTTTTGTTTTGTTCCTTAAAGTGTGGTACATGTAAACTTTTCAGATTCAGGACCTAGCAAACCCAAATAAACTTTCTGAACTTGTAGCCCCCATGCAGCCCTTGGCTGGGCGGTAATTAGATCATTCTGTATTACACTAACGGACTCAGTGTTTTTGTTGCCACAGGAGCCTGCAGGCCCCACCTGTCTGCTGGGGAGAGACAATCTCATAAAACTGCCAATACTATGATTTAGCTGAATACATGTTTGTTAATAAATCTTCCATCTTATTATAATCAAAGAGCTCTTTCAGTTTATGACCCATTTAATGAAGGATTTGGGGTGTCTGCTCATCAATTTGATGTTTTTAAAGACAAACGTAGGGGGTGTTCATTAGTGTGTGTTTAGCCCCTTGGCTCAGGTGAAAAGTGGAGCAGGATAGGTGGTAAAGGAAATGAGAGAAAATGTTCATTAAGAATAAACTTGTGGTGTGATCCACAAACACATTAGCTTTGAGCATAAATGTCTTGTGAGAAAAAGCAAAATTTTTTTTAAGCCTAATGAGTCTCTAGGATCTATAACAGTTCTTTATCAAAGGCCTTTTTCAGTGATGTAGCCAGCACCATTATCATCCAAAGAATTTGATGTGGTTCTCTGAGTTATGGGAGTGTAATTATTAATATGGTGTGAGTGAAATTCAGAACTTTCAAGAGCTTGCAGTCCACTAGTGTGCAATAATGGACATTCATAGCACCTTTCATGACATTAATGTTAAGTGTTCAGATCTCAATATTATGATTTATTTGTGGTTAAACTTACAGTTAGTCAAACTATTTTTTTGGTTTTCTTTCTTAATACATTCAGGGTAGATATAATTATTAGAGTCCTGGCATTATTTATTTTAAAATAATTGCATATATTTCTAGGGGTACAGTATGATGTTTCAATATATGTATAAATTGTGTAATTATATAGGATAATACATGACCTCCACTGAAATACACTGAAGATTTTAATCAATGAAAAACAAATATAAAGTGATATTATGTATGTATGCATATATATGCACATCCATATTTACACACACATACACACATATATATGTAATTTGCTAAAGCTATAAAGTACGTCACACCTTCTGCTAAAAAAAATCTTTAAAATTGTTACTTTCCCAAGGAACTCTCTGTCCTGTCAAAGCTTTTCTCTGTGGTCCAGTGCTCAGCTGCCATTGGACTCAGATCCAAACAAGTTTAGGGAAAGAGACAGTACACTGACCTTTGTTTCCTGTTTCCTTCCAACTCTAGAGCAAGTTCTATTTCAGCTCCACCATCAACAAATAGCTCTGAAAACCAAATAGACCACACTGTTGGAAGTCAGAGAGAGTGAGGTCAAAGAGAAGTCCCAAAAGAGGGAATATAACATCTTCTCATTTCCTTGGTGGAAATTTCCAGCCTTCACACTCATCCATCAGGATATCCTCCTTCTCTGCTCTTATCACTCAAATGTTTCATCTGTTCCAGTGTCCACCTGAAGATGACACAGCTGTATCAGGCTGGATGATCTTTTATGTTGTGTCTGCATTCATTGCTTTCTCTATTTCCTTTCCTTTGTGATATTTTCAGCATTAGGAAGTTTCACTCACTTTGACCATTGTTTTCATACATTTGGGTTTTAGACACAGGATTGTTTAATTTGAATCCAAAAGGATGGACAGGAAGGAAAGCAGACAGCAGAGATATCATTCACTTCCTAACTGAAATCATAACATTCTACTTTCATGACTTTGTCACACTACAGAAAAATGCAGGGCATTCATTTGAAGAAATGTAAACAGTAAGACTGTGACATGTTCTCTTCTTCAGGGTCTTCATTCAAAAGGTGAAGACTAAACTTGTTTTTGGAGGAGATTTTTGACTTTTCTGATTGCACATTCTCCTAATAAAGGCCAGATTTGGCTCAAAGTGAATGTGCAATTTCCTAGCACTAAAATTCTTTCATGAGTTGCTTAAGTATTAATAGAAATCACTCATTGCACTTTTTTGATAATAGGTCTGCAGAAATTAAGCTGCCTGATTGATGCTTCAACATTGCTACTGAAACTTTTGTATGTGTGTGTCTTGGATTTTGTTTTATTTCCTTTTTGTGCAAAAGCTCTGGTGCTAAACAGATCTGGTTATGAATATTGGCTTGGCCATGTACCAAATGCATAGCTTTGGGCACCATAATGAGCTTTCCTAAGTCATGGCTTCCTCACTACTATGTTGGGGATAAATAAATGTATGTTGTTTAATGACTAAATGAGAAGAATATACATTAAGTGCTTAACCCAATGCAAACCACATAATAAGCATTCATTTAAGATAGTTGCTATTCTAATTAGTGTCTATTGGTGTTGGGTTTTCTAGACTTTACATATTCCTTAGATGACTGCAATATACATGTAATGCAGTCTGAAATCCAGGCATCCATAGCTATTTTAATTATCATGTCAATAATTTCTATGATTTGTGTTTCTTTAATATGCTATACAACTTTTTAAGAATAATCTCAGAATATTATATAAATTATTAAATTTGTATATATATACTGTATATGATGATGTCCTGACATCTTAAAAAACTTTTCAGTCTGGGAAAATACTAGACAATACCTAGGGATGACAAGAGGCCCAGCCTCTGGCCCACACACCCCAAGAAGCAATACTCCTCTGCCTTCATCATTCCAAACCAAGGCAACAGGCAACTAAAGACCACCCCTTTAGCTTAGAGCCCTGAGAATTATTTAAACCAGACAGTCCTAAACTGTTAACTCTACCCTGTCTTCCTTTGCTGAGGAAAACCCAGTAAAGACTGTGGTGTAAGCGCTCCCCTCATTCCTGACTGCTGCCTCCTGACCACACTGGTGCTTTCCCCAGTGCCCTTGAGCAACATGCAGTGACCCTCAATCTGGGACCCGTGAGTGTTCAAATTTCTTCCTTCCAAGCCTCATTTTTGTTTCTCCTGTGGGTGTGCTGACCATACTGTATCCCACATTTACAGTCTTAAAACATGTAGCATGCAATACTTTCTCCCAAAGTCAAAAATCATTCTATAGTGTCATATCGCCTATAGAAGGGCTGAAGTCAACAGCTTATGTCTGTCCTAGTGCTGGTGGTCCCTGAGGCACATTGCCTCCTTCAGCATCTACCATCCAGCCTCAGGTCCAAGAGGAGAAAGGCTTGCCTGAAGCCTACAGCTTCCTTGGCGCCATGTCCTCTGTGGTTCCCCTGCAACAAGGATTCTTATATGCTCATCACTATTGGCTTGTTTTGAGTTCAGCTACCTATTCAGAAGCACCAAAATAGGAGAAGAAAAACAATGTGATTTTATTACTTCCTGACTACCTTGAGGTGTCCTAAAAAATGGTTAGTAAAGAAAACTACTGACATAAAAGCCCATCATGCCATATTAGGAATTGAGTGAAGTAGGGTTCCTTCAGGGGGCATGATGAGAAAGTTGGGCGGGTAGTACTTTGGTGATATTAGGGCTTATATTGGGAGGACACGAGGAATGGAAAGGATAAAAGGCAGAGTGCATGCTTCTCAAACTGCTGTGAGACAGCACAAAATTATGTGCATAATGGGTTCTAATTATACACTTACTGGATTAATTGATAAAATATTTCCCAAATATCCCAAAATTTCACAGTTCAGAAGTTTGCCATGTCTACTCTAGGTCCAGCATTTCTTACTAGTGGTTATATTCTTCAGTCATACTCAGCTCATTAAAAGCAGGGTGATTTCTTGGGCTTTGTGGGGAGGGAGCAGAATGAAAGGTTTAAAATGTGAGAGAAGGTTGATACAAGGGAGGCTTTTTATGTATGAGGTGGAGGAGGTGCTTGGAAAGATCTGAGAGCAGCCTCTAGGAGCTCAGAGTGACCTGTACCCAGTAGCCAACAAGAAGACAAGTAACCCGTGCTACCACCACAGGGAACAGGATTCAGTCAGCAACCTTAGTAAATGTTAAAGCAATGTTTTCCTCACAGCTTTTAGATAGGAGCCCAGCCTAGTTAACACATCAGCCTCAATCTGTGAGACACTGAGAATCCAGCTGACCCTGGGGAGACTATAAACCTAAATAACTCAGAGACAATACGTGGCTATTGTTTTAAGCAGCTAAGTTGGTGGTAATTTGCTATGTAGCAAGAAAAAAAACTAATAAAAGGGGTTATCAAAAATTAGTGAGCATGTATTAAAACTACCACTGTAGTTAATTTTAGTGAAGATACTTTGAGGTTATGCAAATATTTTATTTCTCCATTTCTAATCTCCATGACTTTTTTAAATTTTATTTTGTTTTTTGTATTTATATTATTGTACCTCATGGATTTCCAGTGTGATGCTGAATAAAAGTGATGAGAGAGAACACATTTGTCTTCTTCCTGATCTTAGGGATAAAGCATTCATTCATTCTCACCAGTAAGTATACTGTCAGCCATAGACTTTGTGTAGATGCCTTTTATTAGATTAAAGTAATTCTCTTCAATTCCTAGTTTGTTGAGAGTTTTTTTCATGACTGGATGTTGCATTTTGTGGAGTGCTTTTTTTTATTCTTTGTCTATTGAGATAAACACATGCTTTTGCTTTCTTAGTCTTTTATATAGTGAATCCCATTGATTTATTTTTGAGTGTTGAACCAGCCTTGAATTCCTATAATTAATTCCCACTTCAAGATGTAGTTTCCTTTCAAAAGTATTGTTAGATTTAATTTTCTATCTTTTTTATTATCTTGACTCTATATGAGAGATATTTTTCTATTGCATTGTTTCCTTGTAATGCTTTTTTTTAGTTTTTTTATTAGGGTAATCCTGGACTTATTAAATGAACAGAGAATTCTTTTTGCTTTTATATTGGGTAAGAAGTTGTGTATAATGACAGTAGTATTTCCTTAAATGTTTATTAGAATTTGCCAGTGAAATGTTCTAGGCCGAGTTGGTGAATGATCCATCTACTCTTGAAAGGAAAATGTATTCTATTGTTTTAGGTGCCACTATTTTTGGTTTGATTTCACTCAGTGTGCCATGTACTTTAAATTTCTCTAGAGACAATTTGTGTCTAGGATGGGGATGGTTAACCAGAACATCTATATGATTCTGAGATATAGTTCTTATTTGTGTGTCTTAGGCTCTCTTTGCAAGCTCTTCTTCCTCTTTAATCTTTCTCTAGCAGTATTCTTCCATTACTTGTTATTCCAAGCATCTTAGCTTAGTGGTGATGAGGTGTGATTTCTATTGTTCTAATTAAAGCTTGGTCTTAGGTTTGTCCCAAGTCGCTGGGTCTTAGCACTGTAGCCCTCTCTGTCCTCTGCCCTTGCCCTGTTCAGTTGGGGATCAGCACATTAACTCTATTCCACCCCAGGGACAGGATTCCCCCTACACACTTTTTTTCTTCCTTCAGCTGCATTGCGGGCTGTGCTGTAAGGCCATAGTATTGTCCTTCTCCCTCAGATAATGGCTTCTATTTCATAGTGGGGATATAGGGGAAGCATCCTTCCTGTGTGGCCACTGTTCCTGTCACTCAGGTCTGCACCATGATAGACTCTTCTTAGGGTTCTTTTTGATCTTTTCAGTGAGCACCTGGGGAATCCATGCAGAACAGTCTGAAAATATTGTGAACTCACCTAATTTCTGTGACTCCCACCGCCCGCCACACAGAGAAGTTTACTCTTTCCCACCAACCCGCACTCGGCCTATGCTAGGTTGTCAGCTATTCTAGCAGAACTCTTATTATTGACTTTCGATTGTATCTGTCCCAGGTGAATACATGTTCACACCTTCTCTCTCCCTGCAGGCACCATCTCTCCTTACATATTGTGTCAGATCTCTGCTATGTGATGGGTTTGGAAAATGCCATGAATTTGAAGTTAGCATGGCCTTTTTTCATTGCTTGAATGCTGCTTTTTCCAGCTCTCTATATCCTTGGGCTAAGGTTGAAGGCAATTGCAATTCACTGACACCATGTTTTAAGATTAATTGTTAGCTTTTATTCATTTCTTCATCTATTCATGTATTTAAACACTGATGAAGCAATTTTATTCTATTTGTATTTATGTCCCTACCACTTGTTCTAGGAACATAAATGCAAATGGAATAAGACTGTTTTCTCATGAACCTCACTGTCTGTGGGGAAAAGAGACGGCCTAAAGAGCAAGCAGTTATCCTAGAATGAGATCCGAGGAATGTGCACTGATGGGGCTTATGGGACTGGGAGCAGGGTAGTGTTGGTGCTCTTCAAAATGATCAAGAATATTCCAGGAAGGCAAAAGTGGTGAAGTACATTTTTTTTTTACTTTTTATTTTTATTTTTTAGTTGAGATAGGGTCTTGCTCTGTCACCCAGGCTGGAGTGCAGTGGCACATTCACGGCTCACTGCAGCCTCCACCTCTTGGACTCAAGCACTCCTCCTGCTTCAGCCTCCTAAGTAGCTGGGACTACAGGTGCACACTACCATGCCCAGCTAATTTTTGTAGAGATGGGTTTTCTCCATGTTGCCGAGATTGGTCTCAAACTCCTGGACTCAAGGGATGCTCCCACCTCAGTCTCCCAAAGTGCTGGGATTACAGGTATGAGCCACCATGCCTGGCCTAGAAGTGAATTATAAGCAAAGGGAACAGAATATGCAAAGCACAAATCATGAAACAAGCACAAACTTGAAATTTTAAGTGAGATGGTCTTTCTGAATCGTAGGATATACATTTCTATAGAAGATAGCTTTGGTTGAAGGAAATATTATACTGCTATAATATTTCAGGCTATCAAAAACTGTACTTTTTTTCTTTTTACTAAGCTTTTTGTACAAAGCCCACAATTCTCTAGAAATCTCACCTTTATCCCATCCATTCTCCATTCAACTGACACTTTTCCCAAGTGCACAAAAACCATCTAAGTTTGCCCTTTTGCCACCATTAAATAGCTATGCACATTTATCTATTTTGTCTCTGCCTTAATATGCCCATCTGTCAGTTGAGATAACAGTTCTTTCCCTGGTTCCCACACAGGAATGGAGTGAAGACATTGTAAGACCAAGGACAAGAACACACTGTTACAAACAAAAAGACACCCTTAAAATGTGACACGAACAGGTTTTATCCCTGCCAAGAAATATTTTCTGAATTCCTAGATTGATTAAATGGTCCTTCTCTGTGCTCTCATAATATCCTTACTTACATCTGTTTTATCACTTACAATATTTTATTGAAATTATCTGTTCATGTGCGTATTTCCTCCAGTAGACAATAAACTCCTTAACTCCAGGAACCACAGCGTATTTATCTTCATACCTCTCACCCTTAAGTTCATATTACATACCTGGTTTGTGAACAGACATTCATCAATAAAAAAAGTTGTGTCTCTCCAGAAGCTGGCTCAGTTTCTTGGTGCCTCCCTGTGGCCTGTACCACTTTGTATTATGTATGAGGAGAATGAGTCAGGCTCCCTGGTGGCCCCTCTGGGCAGCACTATGCTGCCTGTTCCTGTAAAGATATCACCCATAAAATCTGTGCAGGTAAGGAAAACTTTATCTCTCCTCCAAAATGACTCTGATATTTCTGAAACCGAAGCTTCTCATCTCCTGAAAAGAAATTGGATGAAATACAAATAAAACCATAAAATGGCAGAGCTTCAAGGGTCTTTAGAGATTGGTAGTAAATTGTGTTCTGAAAATAGTTGTTGCCAGGAGGCAGAAGAAGGCTATGAGAGAAGTAGAAGTGATAACTTGCTGTGGACAGGGCATGAAAGAGGAGGATCCAGTCCTCTCATCTTTTAGTTTTTCCCCATTTTGCCAATGGTCAACTTTAGTCCCTTCTGTCCTTTAAACCTGAGAATAAAATATTCCTAGTCAGGGTGTAACTGGGAACTTTCAGCATTGCTAGAGTTCAGTAAGAGGAAATTTCCTCAAAAGACTACCCGCCTAGGACCACAGGCATAAGAATTAAGTACTTATTTGGATGCTAAAGACCTGCTTTAACTTACTTCATGTCAAGGGTATATGTGTGTTCTATAAACAATGAAAGGCTGCTTCAGGATAAGAGAGAGTATCAGTGATGGTGACTGAAAGAGCTCAGGGGTTCCCCTCTTCCTTCTGTGGGTTACTCCATAGACCCTGGATGCCTCAGGACACAGTTGGCTGGGATTCTGGAGACAGATCTGGAGAGTTCAGTTGTGAGCCTGAGTACACTTTTTATGCCCCAATATTTAACACTTAACTACAGCAAGGGCACCGTAGGCCTCCCTCCTTACTCCAGAGCTGTGACACAGGAAAGCGGCACACCCCAGGGGTCACAGCAGAATTCCAGGAGGCCTCCAAGTGCTTGGCAGGATGCCCAGCATGCATTTCTTTCAACCAGAGAGAGAAGACAGATCTTTGTGGGAACAAGATTCAGAAACTCGGGAATACGTTGGAACTAGGCCAAATGCTGAATCCTGAAAGAAAAAGAGAAACTCCAGGCATTGGACGGATGTCCCTGGCTGGAACAATTGAGTTACATATATACATGTGTGTCTATATATACTCACATGTGTTTATGTATATGCACATATATTTATTTAATATTTCATAATTTGTAATGTTCAGACATATAACAGTTACACTCCAGGAGGTGGATTCAAACAAAGTCTTCAGGAATCTGAAAATTTTGCCCAACGATCTTTAAACTCTGTCGTTGGACGTTAAAACTGGAAGAAAACTTAAAAATGAACCCTGGCCTTCCGCTCCTTTTTTGTGGATGAGAAGAATAAAGCCTGGGGAAATGATGCGACTTACTCGGCATCATATGGGGAGAACTACTGGGAGTTTTTCCTAAATTCAGGGCAGAGAAAGTCTTACACTTCTTCTCACTTCATTTCTCTGTGTGAGCCCCTCTGGGTCTTATCACTGAAGGCCCTTGTAGCCTAGCCTGTCTGTGTAAGGGCTTACTCACACAAGATCTCTACTTTCGTGGAAAGGTAGGACAACTGTTCATTTCTGCATGTGTCACAGGAGGAAGCTGGAGTTTAGAGAGGTTAAGTGATGCACCCAAGATCCTCTAAGAAATGGAGGACACTGACTTAAACCAAAGACCATCTGCCTCTCAGTCCATTATAGCCTCTCAAGGGGAAAGAAAACCAATTTTAATAGTGTTAGTAAGCCATGAGTGTGACTGCCTAGGATTCTTGCCAGGTTCCTACTACAGTCCCTGCAATTTGACATCCTTGATTCCTTAGCGTGGTGCAGACATCATCGGCACCCTCTGTGTGCTTTTATTCTTGCTGGTCGCTCTTCAGGGCATCTCCTTTCTTCCCATCCATGCATCCCAGCTTGTAGGCTTCTGGGTTAAGACTTGACAAACCCCTCTTCTTTCTTGGAAGAGAAATTGCTTTGTCTTCAAGATTATTTTAGAAGCTTGTGTGTACCTCTGTTTCAGCAGGTATAAGCTAGGCATGCTGGAATCACCTGCTCCTCTTGACTAAGGTGGGAATGTGTGCAGATCTTCATGCATGCTCTGCATAAGGCCTGGCACATCAAAGGTATTCAATAGACATTTGATGAGCAAATATAACATGAATATTATCCCAGGAATATTAGTTCTTTCGAGTCTAAAAAACACTAACTACATAGTATCCATAGTATCTTGCACAGAGTGAATGTTCCCAGAATGTTTCATCAGCCTTGACCAGCGTCCTCTTTCTTATTGCATTGTCCTCAGCAAGTGACATCTGTCTTCCCAGGTGGCTGTCATCCTGGTCATGTGTCAGTCTGCTCCTCCACTGGCCATAATGACTGAGAACATCAGGGGAAAATATTTTGATGGAAAATGTTTCAAATGAGTATGAATAGAAAAGCATTTCAAGAGGAAATCAAAACAGAGATTGGAAACTCTGGTATCTCCAGAGCTCACCTAAAGGTCCTTTTACGAAGAAAACCCTGAGACCATACTTGATGTGTTTGGCAAGGGTCTGAACAGATAGAGAACCATGACTTTAGGCTATTTCTGTTGGTTTTTGTGATCATGTTCACAAGCAAAGCTATAAATCTTACAACATAGAACAATCTGTGGTTTGAGTGAAAGCTGAAGGCTGGAGGTGGAGAGATCTTTCTTCCAGCTCCACTTAATGGTCCAAGACTCAGCTGCCCTTTGATCTTGGAGTGGAGATTTGGCTTTCAGAGAGAGTACACAGGTGGCAATATGTAAACAAAATAACACCCCAGGGCCTTTGTCAGGCCTTTGGAAAACAAAGTGGAAACATGGTTGGCTCCTAAGCTGACTGGACATTAAATAATGAGTCTGACACATAGTGAAGTCTTCACACCCTCAGCCATTCACATGGACCTATGACAAGTTGATGCACTTCCAAAGGGTTCACTGGCTTTTCCCTTGCCTAACCCCAAACCACGCTTATTTTTGCACACGAAGTTTTAGTAACAAAATAGAAAATGTGCATCTCTGCCCTGGGTTTATCGCTGAGCCCTTCCTGAACATTCTCAAGATCCATCCCAGAGTGAGTTCTATGGGATCAATGTGGGAAGAGATTTAAAAAAAAAAAGTGGTTCTTTCCTTCCTTCCTCCCCTTCCCTTTCCCCTTCCCCTTCCCTCCTTCCTTCCCTCTCTCCCTCCCTCCCTGCTTGCTTGCTTGCTTTCTCTCTCTCTCTTTTTTCTCTGTCTCTCTCTCTTCCTTCCTTCCTTCTTTTTTTCTCTCTTTCCTTTCTTTCCTTTTTCTTAGTAGAAAACAAGAACACAAGAAAGGAGTGGGTTTGGGCACTCTTGAATTATTTCTCCATTTTACCCTCATGGAGGGACTAAAGCTGGTACTGTTTCTTGAGAACCTGTCCTGTCTCTGGCCCCATGCCCACCGACTTTCCTGGAACCTCTACCTGGGTCTCCGAGGGCCTGGCAGCAGCTGAAAGGGAGAGCTCTGTGCAGAGCAAAGGCAGGCTTTATTAAGACATTGGTTCAGATGGGGCCAAGCAGTCAGAGGCAGAGGAGGGACTGTCTCATTCACTCACCTCCGGACCAGAAGCCTCTCTTGTACTCAGGGACTGACTCATTCCTTGTCTCACCCCTGTTCTCTTATGAATTCCTCCAGAGCAAGAAACAGTATTTGTGTATTTTGAGAAGTCAAGGGCCAGTGTTAAATGTTCCTACCTCTGAGAGAAAGCACATTGCCTTCCTCATTGTCGTGCTGGGAAGAAACCCCAGCTCTTCCGTGTGTTCAAGACTCCAACCAGGCCTCCTCGGTGCCAGGTTCTCATCCGCGCCGCACCCCTGAGAACAAGCAGCAAGACTCAGCTGCAGTTAATTTTCATTTGCTGTTTGTATATAAATGCTTTTAGTACTTAAACTAAATTCAGATCAATTAAACTAATGTTGTTTGACATAATATTCCTTGTTCCAAAATCAATATCCCTTCATTTGACAGACTTATTCTTGAATTCAGGATGTTTATTGTTCTTAAAGCTTACCTATAGACCTGGTTTTTGTCTTTAATGATATAAAACAGTTCTTCTTCACATACTGTACGCCAGCATGTAATGGGGCTCAAATTTCTCTGGTAAATATCTTTAATTGTACCATCATGCCTTTTAATCTCAGCAGTACATGACCACTCTTTCTCTGTCTCCATTTGTCTCCTTAGTTTTAAATACATTCCTTTAGTGGTGTCTGTTTAGAAAGAACTGGGGTGAAGGAAAGAGCCAGGCTGAGATTTGCAGTCCGGAGCTCCCTCTTTCCAAAGAGCAGGGCCAACAGAGCTCTCCCAGCCTGGCTATTTAACTATGGCCACTTATTCTTCGCCAGATCCCCAACTCCCCCTCTGACCCAACCCAGTCCTCATAAAGTAACATGCAGCTACTAAAACGCACCATGTTTTCTCACTGGTCTTTCCCCTATGCCCTGCAGCTCTTCTTCACCCTGCTTTTGGCTCTTATAAATCTTTTTCTGTTTTCCCTGGCCTTTGTCCAGAGACAGGCCTTGCTTGGCTTTGGGGAGAGAAGCCTGAGGGTCATTTATCACTTGAACAGTGGGAATGGGGGATTGAGCGGTAGTTTTTTTGCTGTCACCATGGCAAAGGTCTGTGCACAGTTACCTAATTGGAAGAAGCTGGCCCCAGTTCCTATAATTGCCCCACCTTGATAACTGTCCAGCTCAGACTTGCTCACTTCATGATGAAGGAAAGAATCTGTGCAGAGGAAGGACCCTCTCGGCGATAAAACAGGAATGGTTTGCAATGTTTTTCTTTTTTTTTTCCAGGCAAATATATTCTTTAAATTAATAGTTATTGAAACTATAGAAGCTGGCATTTGTGAGAGCTTTAATCAGCCTCTGAAATATACCCGACTTTGCTCTGTGACCAGCCTTCAGACAAGATGAAGCCTCATGAAACCTGAGCTGGGCTTGCTTGTCTGAGTCTTCCTACTGGAAAGGCTCCTGCAGCAAAGTGTGCCCAGACCCTAGAAAGGGAGCTGCTCTGCCCCACTGCGCGCGCGTGCACACACACACACACCCCATGCAGGCACACACACATGCACACATACACATGCCCCACATACACATGCATGCACACACTACACGTGCATACAGATGTACACACATATGCACAGATACATACACACATGCTTTTTTTTCTATAGTATTTTTCAAAGGAGCATAGTTTGAGATCACAGAGATTTGGTTGAACTCAGGAGTCTAATTTTATTGGTGAGGTTCCAGGGGGGAAAGCAAGTGAGAAAATAAATGGTTTATGCTACTGCATTTTGTTTTCTGTCAACCATGGACACAGCTTAACTTTCATTCTGCACAAAAAAATGTGACTTCATTCTCCTGGGGATTGGTATCTCTCTCTATTCTCTTGGGCCTTGTTTCTCTACTCTCACATTTGTTCTTTCTTCTCATTTTCTTTTCTTTCTTTTAATCCCTGTGCTCTCAACTTGTCTGCTGTATCCCATCTGGAATAATATCCTATGTGTTCTGAACATGGATACAATAAATCGTTCATAATTGTACGCTGGATGCAAGGGCACTGATTAATAAACACTGCAGGGAAGAGCTTTCCGATAGTGCCTCTCTTCAGTGAGCCATGTTTCTTCCCATGGGATACCTTTGATCGTTTCTTTGGTGGCTGCACCTGGCTGCATTTTATTTCCATTCCTCCAGATTTGCATTCCCTTTAACTGATTGCCTTGCCCTCATTTGATGAGTCCTGTTTCTGTGGTGATTTATCCTGGTCCTGAGAGGAGGCAGTGCCTTGTCCCATTCTGGAGAGAAATTTCTGAAGGCCCTTTGGCCTCTCCCTCAGCTCCACCCTGAGGAGACTCTCAGCAGAGGCCAGGGTAGGAGGCCCTGGGTCTAGTCAAGGAAGGTAGTGAGGGCACCTGGCTGTTACCGTCATGACCTAGGAAAGATCAGGAAGAGGAAAGCCTGTGCAGAGGTTGGTCTAGAGATGTCCCTCATCTACCACTGCAGGAAGGAGAGCCAGGGCCTGTTGCCATCCTGATACCTCACAGATGGTCAGTGATTGCATCTGTGTAATTCTCAACACTGCACATAAGCAAATATTTAGTGTTTTTAAAATGTTATTTAACCTCCATCATTTCCATGTAAGATAGGAAGGGCTGAGATTGTCGTACCTATTTCACGGATGAGGAAAGTGAACCCCGGAATAGTGACTTTTGCAAGAAAGAAGAATCTGGCCCCAGTTTCCATACTTACCCCACCTTGATAACTGTGCCCAGCTCAGACTTACGGGAACTGTGCTCATCTCAGAATGATGGGACTGGGGCCAGGTGGCACAGTTATCAAGGTTGGGGCAGTTATGATTCTTCACTCCGGATTCTTCACTGTGGTCACTTAGCGAGTATGTGGAGGTGCCCTGGGCTTCCAGTGCCTCTTCCATGGCCCCTCCACTGTGTGGTATTGTAGCCCTTTTTGATGCAGAACCCCCATTGCTGGTCTCTGCCATTCTTTTTGCTTCCCTTGGCCTAAAGTACTTGACACGGGCTTACATCTTGGAGGCTTAACCCTTTCCAGAGCCAGGCCTTCCCAGAGTGCTGGCCAGAGACTACCCAAATGTCTGAGTGGGGAGGGACACTGTTGAGACAGACAGTCCAAGGAGCCATGTAGTGGAGCAGCCCTCAGGTTCCCAGGCAGCAGGTGGGAGCTCACCACATGGTTCTTATGTCCTAATCAATATAGTGCTTGATTTATTTCTGGCTTTAGAATTCTGGGGGTCAGGTGTGGATTCCCTCAGAATCCCTGGTTTAGGTTGGATGTGTGACTCAACTCCTACTTACCTAACATACACTGGGTGGAGATACAGTTAAACAAGGCTGCACATATAAAATGTCCTAGTTCAGCATGGGGCACATGGAAGGCCATAGGTGAATGTCAGACTGAGTGCTTCGTCGGGGAAGATTTGCAGGTGACAGACTAAAAAACGGAAGGTAGGGATATCCAACTCTAGTTTAGAAGATGGTTTTGTCCTCATGTTTACTTCATTTGGCTGTCTCTAACATCTGGTTGGTTGGTTCAGAGACTCGCAGAAGGACTGAAGTTTGAAAGAGTTGGAGTTCTTAAGGGAATTCCACTTAAAGGGATTTGGGTAATAAATATACCAAGTAGACACTTGGTTTATCCAGCTTCTGTCTGTATGAGGAAAACTGATGTTCCAAAATGATGTAACGAAATCTAAGGAAAAGCATAAAGATGTTCAAATATGGAGCATCTCTAAGATAATTGGTTTTAACTCAAATTCAAATTAATCTGAATACAACTTTAAAAAAATTGTTAATTCACCATTTTATTTCACCTTTACCACAGCCCTCTAATGTAGCATTATGATTGTTCCCACGTTGTGGATGCAAAAAACTGAGATTCAGAAGAATGAAGTGACTTCTCCAAGGCAGATTGCAATTGACACGTTGCAGCCCAGCTGTGCAGGATATCCCCCTCCTCTTTCTTTCACTTAAGCACTCGCACCTGATAAAGATGTCAGAAAGATGAAGAGAACAGCATAAAGTCCCCATGAGTATTTGAAGAGATTGACATTAAGATTGCTTAATAATGAAGTTAATGAAACATCATCTTGGGACAAGTCTTTGGTCACACCCTTAATATGATACGGGGCATCTCGTTCATGTTATATGGGTCTTAGGATAAAGAAACTTCTAAACAAATTGTAGTGTATTAACTTTTAAAAGAAAGGAGAGCTTAATAAAGAAACCAGAAGTGTGGTTGGGAGCAGGGGAGCGGGCAATGAATATGAGAAACAAAACTAATAATGAAGAAAGAGTGCAAGTGGAATGAATGTTCTCTTAACAATTTCCATGAAGGGTTTGGTGTTCTCCCTGGTAGCTCAGGATTGCAAAATCCAAAGCCAAGTGGGGTTGTCTTTTGCATTTATGGACTATCCTCAATCCCACTCAATGTTTGCCTTCCAATAGCTTCTCAAAGCCTACTTTGCCTGTAGCACTGTTCTCCTTTAATTATAAAAACCCAGTGTACTATTAAGAAAAAGGCAAGCCATATGTTTCTGATTCATTTAGAATTAAACCCACAGCCTGCTGTTAGCTAAGAGAAAGGCAATATTCAAGAACTCATTGTAATAAGCAATGTTAGCAAGAACCTTCTTAAGAAACAAGTTTAGGTTTTGCTGGGAATAGTGAAAGTATGACTCCTGAGCAGTTTGGGTAGGATTTGGAATTCAGCCACTGTGAACTGCAAAGTGAAGAGTGCATTGTGAGAGGCATAACTTCTTCAGTCTCGACTGAGGATCAATCTTTGTCAAACTGGAGTTAGTTAGGTCTCAGGGGAGCAAGGGGAAGTTGTAATTTAGGAGAAAAAGAGCTGTTACCTAGGGCTGCTATTTACCTTACAGTAAATATGGGGGAACAGTGGTTAATAAAATAGTTTTATATTTTTCCTTTAAGAAAATAGCCATAATGTATGAAATACATCAGTATTCAGGCTTTAAGAAAAAACAATAGACCTTGTGATTTAATTTTAAAAAAATAGAAAAAGAGAAACCTTGTTTCCCTTTCCTTGTTTGCAAACTTTTTACCATCTAGTTATTAATTGGGTCAATCTTTTAAAGAGGAGTATTTATCTTTACTGTGAACCATTTTCCCCTTTGGGCTCATTATGTTAAACATTGCATTTAACCCACACTTTAGGAGAACAAAGCAATATTTCTGTTGGTTTAAACTGTCACATTGACTCACATAATGGAAAACTGGCTAACTGGAAGTGGGGGAAGATATTTCAGTAAAAACAAATATCGCCAGGAAGAGATTAACTTCAGCCTATTCCCAGCAGCGAACTTCAGTTGCCTTGGTGCCTCCTTGCCTATCCCAGGTGTATGGAAGAGAAGAGGTTGGCCTGCTGGAGGCTACTGCCATGAAGTTGGCTCTTCTGTCTTCTAACCTCACACCTCCTCTTATTGAAGAGACCCTGAGCAAAATGGCAAAGACCTAAGCAGTTGGTTTCTTGCTCCCCAGCTTTTCTTTTGTTTCTTTGTGCTAATCTAAATCTACTTTTTGCTGTATTGTGTGTGTGTTCATGTGCTGTGTTATTGTGTATTTTTTTTTTCCTGAATGACAACATGAATCTAAGTTTCCATGTGGAATGAGACCTCATTACATCTTATGGAAATGTTAGACCTTGGACTTTACCAGTATGTGGTATTATGATCAGAGCCCAATAATAATTGCTGAATATTATTGAAAGAATCTTCTGTGTGTTTAAAAAGGGTGAGACACAGGGTAGTATACTGGGTATACTTAAGTATATTTAAGACTTACATATTTGGCTTCAAATCCTGGGTTTGCCACTGTACTAGTTATTGGTTAGCTCTCAGGCCGTTTGTGAAGTAGCCATAAGAATGGTTACTTTGAATTGTTGTGTAAGAATTAATGAATATATGTAAATGTAAATCCAGACACATAGCAGGCATTCAATAAACAATTGCCTGTTTGGTTAAAAAATTGTTTGGAGTACAGTGTAGCATTGTGCATAAAGTTGAGACCACTTGGGTTTAAATTCTCACCGTTTACTGATTTAGTTAAGTCACTTAACATTTCTAATTCTTAATTTCTTCATGGTAAAATAGAAATAATGACTCACTCAAAGGATTGTTTCAAGGATTAAATATGCATATGATGTTGAGTAAGGTCAAGAGCCTCAGGCCTGCTTCTCAAAATATTCAGGAAGCATCGTCTTCAAAGAAGTGCAGAGCTTTTGGCTCATGAGGTGGCTTCAGTGACTATGTCTTTAGGAAAGATGAAGAGGAGATCAATGTTCACTTCAGTCAGTTATAACCTGATAAGAAGGAAAGCTTAATAACTTGCTAGCAAGTCTAACTTCAACAGTGCCTTATACTGGCAGAGCAGACCAAAACTATCTCACTCTATTCACCTTGGTTGAAAATGAGCATCTGCTTATTGTTGCAAATGTGCAGTATACTGAATGCCAGAGAAATCCAGCAACTGATAGTGTTAAATAATTTTTCCTACACTATATCAATCTTTTAAAATTTGAGTATAAAATGTTGAAGATAACATTGCAATGATATTTTCTTTTTGATAAAACTTCGGATTTATTCTTGTATTTCAAAAGTTCACTCTATGAATATTGTTACTTGGTTTCCGCCTTGGCTTCCAGTCAAATTTTGCTGTTAATAATCAGCCATTCAACACTAGGCCAAAATGGTGCTTTTTAATGAATGTGTTGCAATTAGTCAATTGCCTAAAAATAAGTACTGATAATAATGGTGGCTCTGTGTCCCCACTCGAATCTCATGTGGAACTAAAATCCCCACGTGTCAGGGGAGGGACCTGGTGTGAAGTGATTGAATCATGGGGGCAGATTTCTCCATGCTATTCTCATGATAGTGAGTGAGTTCTCATGAGATCTGATGGCTTAAAAGTGTGGCACTTCCCCGCTCTCTGTCTCTCTCCTGCTGCTATGTAAGACGTGCCTTGCTTCCCCTTCTCCTTCCACAATGATTTCAAGTTTCCTCAGGCCTTCCCAGCTATGTGGAATTGTGAGTGAATTAAACCTCTTTTCTTTATGAATTATGCGGTCTCAGATGGTTCTTTATAGCAGTGTGAAAATGGACTAATGCAAGTACTCTATGTGTGAATATTTTATTATTATTGGTGTGAAGGTGATGGGAAGTTTCCCTAGTGCCTCTGACATCAGAGCATACAGGAAGCTGTTCACTGGATTGTCCTGAATTCCCAGAAAGTTTATTTTCATCTCTGCTATGATTTGCCCATTCATGAAATGAGAGGAGGGTTAGACTCCACTCTTCTAACTTAATTCTCCCAATCTCCCTGAACACTCCCAGTGGGTCATCCCTCAGCAACTGTGGATGCAGTACAGACCCAGGGAGCAGCATCCCGTGTTTCTTCTGGATCAGCTCCTTATTCTTCATCAAAACTCTAAGACCCAAACTCTCAGGTAAGTAAAAAAGACCAAGAGAGGAAAGATGAGCCCCATCCTGGTGAAATAGTGACATGAATATATATATATATATATATATACACACATATATATATGCTCATAAGTATATATATGTATGCTCATAAGTATATATATATGCTCATAAGTATATATATATGTTCATATATATATTCATGTCACTGTTTCATCAGGAAGGGGCTCATCTTTCCTCTCTTGGTCTTTTTTATATATATGTTCATATATACACGTTCATATATATTACGTTCATATATACACGTTCATATATATACATTCATATATATATGTTCATATATATACGTTCATATATTTATACGTTCATATATGTGTTCATATATATGTTCATATATATGTGTTCATATATATATATTCTTTGGGACATGAATGTATATATATTCCCAAAGAACAGCATAATCTCTCTAAAATGATTTAGCATGTCATCTACAATGTGAAATAAAATCTCAGAAGGACATAGTTGGAAAACTATAGGAGGCAAAGGTACAGTGACAAGAGGTGACACAGAAAATAGTGCTGGATATAGCTCCTTTTTTCTTATGAAAGAAAACAATAGAGGAGAACTTGATACTTACTCATCTCTATGTTACGAGCTGTTTCCAAGTATCCAACACACATTTTCTGTTGACTACTCATTACAGAACTGCCGGATGTATATTAAGCATAGCTTTTATTGCTGCAAGAGCTAAAGTTCAGAGAAATGAAAACTTGTGCTGAGATCTCACAGCAGACCCTGAGCATGCTGCTGGAGCTGGAGCCAGAGTCAATGGACATGTGGGTTGGAGTCATCCTTTATGTATTTTCTGGTCTCCAGCATGTTTCTCATTTGTAAAATGTAGATGATAATAGTGCACATGCCTGAATCTTTAATTCTTTTTTTCCTTTTGGCAGTTTTTGGAAAAACTCTATGCAGAAAAGTTGGTCCAATAAACCAAAATATGTTGAATAGATGTGTATTGGAGAGGCTGGTCTAGGACTCTTACATCTTATGAACTCTGTCTCAGGAGCAGAGACTGTGGGCCTTGGGATTTAGCCACTTATCACCACCAACTCATAAGAGACTTTGATGTGGAGGTCTTGAATCTGTAGTACAATTTAAAGTCTTTAAGACATTTTGTGACAGAGTTAGCCCTAATACTCATAAACTTTGAGGTCATGTGTCTCATGGAGTTGCGAGCTTCCATCAGTTAGCTGAAGGGAAATTTTCATGTTGCAATTTCAGCATCAGCAATCTTTTCCCTTGCAGAGGACCCTGCTCTTGATGCTTCTTTGCTTGTGTTGGGAATGTAGGACATGGGTGGAACAGTGAGCAGCTCACTGCCTGCGTCCATTTCTCCATGCAGAGCTCTTGCTGGGTGAACTAGAATTAGGACAAAAGGGTCTGCAAACAGCAATCTGTCATGAGTCTGAGTGAAAAGGAGAAAAAAGGGATCTGATTAGAAGAAACAAGTGGTGAGTTTTGTGTGTATCTTCTACATCAGTAGTTCTTCCGAGTCAGGCAGAGTTGTAGCCAGGGGAATGAATACTTGTTTAACTTAGTACAAGTTTACCTGAGATTAAGGGCAAGTTGAATACAGCCAGTATCTTTTGTTCCAATATTGACTTAGTCTTGTTGTCACAAATCAGCTATTGATATTTGGTGTCCCCATTAGTCTCAGGCAAGAGAGCTAATCCTTCTTTCATGTTTGTTTATATACCATATTTGGCCGGAGCTTGGGATGCACTTTTCACCTTGGTCTGCAAGTAGAGAGGCAAACACATGACCTCAGCACTTGAAGCCATCCTGGCTGGTCACTCTCTACTGTTTGTTTAATTTTGCTCCGACTCCAGCCTGCCTCCTAATCCCAGGTATTCGGACATGTTACAAAAAGAAAGAGACCCTGAGATCAAAGCACTGGTCACGATTTTACTAGGGGGCACCTCTGAAAGCACTTGTAGGCCTGTGTGCATGGAGTGCACTGTGATCTTTAGAAAATACTTTGCTCTCCAAATTGGGGCCAACAGATTTATCACCCTCTGGGCCCCAAAGCTCCAGGTCAGGCTAGGGTTATTTTTGTGTATTGTGTGCAAAGACATGGTAGTTCTTACAGAAACCTGAAGAGCAAATATTTAGAACATGCTTGAGGTATAAAAGAGACTTCTGAAAAGAAATTTTTATTTTAGCATTTCCTATAAAAAATAAGTTAACTTTATTGTCATCTGCTTGGGATCCTTGTCCTCTACAGATTTCTCTCTCAGCCACCAGTGTTGTAACGGTTCAAGATGATGGATGTTTTCGTCTTCTCTGTGGAATTTGAGTTTCTGCTCTGTGGCAGGCTAAATCTGTTACAAAGGAACTCTGAGGGACACTCTGATTGCTTTTATTAGTTGTATAAAGTACGTTTCAATAAAGGAGGGGTATCAACAAATGCAATATAAAAATATCTTTGTCTTATTCTGATTTTGTTGAAAAGGTGGTGATGATAATATGGTTTGAGACATGTCCGTTCATATCTGCAGCCTAGGGAATTGCTAGGTATACAGTACATCAATTTAGAGAACAGAATTTTGTAGACTTAAGTTCAAATCCTGACTTATTATCTATGTGACTTTGGGGAAGTTATTGTACCTTTTTTGGCTTCAATTTCAAAATCTATAAAGGGGAATAATATTGGTATTGACCTCATGGAGTTATTGGAAGCATAACAAATGTATATGAGATATTTCACATTGTATTATATTTTACATAGCATAGTCAATTAAGAGTTGCTTATTATTATTCACTCTTCGAGACCTGCATTTGCTCCTCACAGATGATCTTGACTTTTACTTTACAAAGGAGATTGAAGATCTACAGTATTTTTACCTCAAAACATCTCTGTATATCTATACATTAATTTTTAAAAAGTGTTAAAATCTTATATTTACTTTGTGCCAGGCTCTGTGTGAAGCCCTTTTCGCATATAGATCATTTACACTTATAGATATAGCCCTTTACGCATTTACAACCATGAGTCAATTCCATTTACCTTAAGAGAAAATTGAGGCTTAGCAAGGTTTATAATTTGCTGGTGTCATATTGTTCATATATGAACAAAAATCACCTAGTTCCAGAGCCTACCTTCCTATCCCTGGTGCCGTCGCACCTCCCTTCAGTGCATTAGAATTTGAGTTTTATCGATGATCATTTTGCGTATTCATTTTTTCCCTTTCTACTCATACTTTGACATCTTCCTAAATGAATGTTCAAATTTTCCTCAAATTCAATTAATCAATAAATTAACTAATTCTTCATTAAGCACTTATTTCTGAACTCTTCATTAAACATGTATTTAATAAAAGTCTTCATTAAACACTTATTTAATAAAAATCTTCATTAAACACTTATTTCTGAACTCTCTGTGGTGTGGTTTTTGTCCCACTGGCTGAGAAAGCAATCTCTCAATGGTCACAATTGAGTAGAAAAATCACTGTATATGAGCAAGAGAGTCTGTCAGGAGTCAGCTTGGAAGCTGTTACTATAGTCCAAGTGGGAGATGTTGGTAGCTAGGACTAAAGTATTCGTAGTAAAGATGGAGATGAATAGATGTATTTTATGATATTTTGGAAATATGAAAAAGTCATAAGGATGCACTAATTGATTTGATGCAGGAGGCAGGGGAAAGAAAAGGATAATGGTTGGCTCCTAATTTTTTGTTTTGAATAATTGGCGGATTATTTTGCTGTTTATGGGGAAGAGTAGGCTTTGAGTAGGTTTGGAAAACGTAGGAAAATTAGGTGTTTTGTTGTTTTGCTTTCTTCTGTGAGGGGGTTGTTGTGTGGATATATCAATGGATTGTAAAGGTCTAGAGCTCAGTGAAAAGTTGTCAACATGAAAATATGTGAAGCCATAGATGTGATCCCTTAGGACGAGGATGAGGACAGAGGAGAGAAGCCCCCCAGGAAAGAGTACCATCAGTTAGGAGCAAAGCAGAGAGGAAGGTAGCAATATGTAACAAATGTAATGGTCAGTGAGGCAAGAGGAAAATGATGAATGTTGTGCTGTCAGAAATTATATACACGTCCTTAAGATTTTTCTGAGCCTGTAATACTGGCAGAAGCTGCTATACTTTTATATACCCTGCCTCTACTGACTACAAGGCTTTCCTCCACTTCTCTGCTTGGCAAACTCTGATTTCTTCAAGACTTAGTTCAATTCCTCTGGAAGCCTACTTTGATTCCTTACCTCTCATTTCTTAGGCATTTCCACAGCACTGTGTCCCTACCTCTATCTTAGCCCCAATCATGGGGTACTTGGGATAGCATAATCAGTCTTAACTAAATCCCTGGTTCCATTAAGGTGAGCTCCTTGAAGGTAGTGACTGAGAGTTTTACTCTGAATCTCTAGCATTTGGCACAGTGTCTGTGGGAAAAGTATTTGACTATTGTTGGTTAAATAAATGTTTGTATAATAACTAGTTTCCCTTGTGAGCTTCGGTATTTAATTTCAAATATATAATGTCTACCTGAGAACTCCACCTGGCACTGGCAGCCCAACATTGAGATTTACCTATATCTCAAATTCTGCATGACTCCAATTGAATTTTTTCTTAAGAATTTTTTCTGACTTTTCTTAAGACCTCCTTCTTCTATCTTATTTTACAGTGCCAATATTCTCAAATGCTTCCAGCTTGGAAACAAGAAACAACTTGTGACTCTTTTTCTCTATTTAGCCATTCAGCCACTATTCGTGTACATTTTTGCTC
The DNA here is from genome assembly GCF_000001405.40 of Homo sapiens. Classification (NCBI taxonomy): domain Eukaryota; kingdom Metazoa; phylum Chordata; class Mammalia; order Primates; family Hominidae; genus Homo; species Homo sapiens. Next base: position 18,803,684 of record NC_000002.12, read on the forward strand.
CATATTTCTTACATCTGTATGCTGTTTCTTTTTCCTCATTAGCAACTTTCCCAGAGTTGCAGAACTACTCAGATACAGAGCCAGGATTGTAGTCCATTCTGCCTGACTCACTAAGTTGTATCACCTTTCTGGCTTATGCTTGGGTAACAGGGAACCTTTGATAATATGGAAATCAATTCCAAATAATATAACTTGTAATTTTCTGGAACACTTTGGAAAGGAAAATACTCCATGGACTCTTGTTTTGCCTTGTGTCTGAAACATAAACCAGCTATTTTTTATGAGGCATTGACAGAGAAATAGATGGATGGACTGGTTTATTTCCCTCAATAGTATGCAATCTCACAACTGTCTAAAGATATAAAGGTTTATACATGTAGTAAAGTATTTTTATCTAAAATATTTCTATTAAAAATCATCAAATGCATTAAGTAGGATAACTTCTAACTTCTACTCCCAAAGTTCTATTCTACTCAGTTTTGATGTCTTCTCCTAAGATTAATTTGCTTCCCAGAGCCTCATCCTACCTATAAGGTAAAGTTTATAATTTTGAGTTTTAATATCCTTTTGTCTTAACCATAGGTGATATCCAGTGAATGCTTCGTAACAGAATTAATAAATAATTGGATGTACATGTATCTTAGGAAGTAATATGTAAATATATATTCACAGTAGTACCAATTAACTGATTAGTATTTTTCCACTTTCTTGCCATTTGTCTGTCAAGTAGAGAGGGAGTAACCTTACCAAATTGTGACACTGAGCCACTACTAATAAATACTCAATTTCCAAAATAATGAATTCTTATACCCATCTTTCTTCCACTCTACCCAAATAAGTTACTTTGATTATAAATTTTCCTCAAAATCATTGGTTCTACCAGTTTATTTTATATTTTCCTTTCAAAAGTACATAGTTCAGGCTTCTGTTTCTTGCTAATTCAAACAATTGCCACCGGATGTGCACTCCTACTGTAAATACCATAACAACTAAAGTATATATATATACACTACTTTGAGACAATGCATAACAGGAAGTGCAGTATTGTGATGCATGACAGAAGGGAAAGAGGAGGTGATACATTATGATCATTCCCAGCTTGATGCCAGGAGGCATTTACTGGAACATGATGCAGGAAGGGGAAAGCCAAGCAGAGCATGATGGTTGTAATGAAATAAAGAGGAAAATAGAAGAGCTTGAGGAGACTGGGACAATTGGATTTTGTGAAACAGAGTACCAAAAATGAAGGAACTTCCCTCCAAATTTATATGTCAAAGCTCTAATCCCCAATATAATGGAATATGGAGATGGGGCCTTTGGGAAGTAATTAGGTTTAGATGAAGTCATGAGGATGGGATCCTCATAATGGCATTAGTGCCCTTATACACAGAGAAGTTGCTGGCTTTCCTTCACCATTTATGCACAAACAAGAGGTCATGTGAGTGCACAGAAAGAAGTTATCCATCTGCAAGCCAAAAAGAAAGCCCTCGGCAGAACCTGATTATGTTGGCACCCTGATCATGAACTTCTAGCCTACAAAACTGAGAAAATAAGTCTGTTAATTAAGCCATCCAGTTTGTAATATTTTTGGTATGGCAGCCCGAGCTGACTAATACACAGATGAAGAGCTGTAGTAACTTGCTTTGAAGATCTCTTAATTCTCTTTGCTGAATACTAAACTGTACATAAAATGTAACATGCCCAAAAAGTTGGGTAAAGAACAGCCAGGGAGCTATAACATGAATAATTTCCAGAGCTCACACAGGGCTGGGACAAGTTTAAGTTCTGAAGAGCCAAAGTGAAGAAACATCGGATTAACACCCAGTGTTCAACAAAGACACATTACTGGTAAAACTAATGGAGCCTTAGAGCAAAGGCTATTTTATACTTATTCAAATAACATTTTATAAATTCCTAACAGAATCAAGCTGACCTTCAAGGTACTTAACTTTCTGCTAAAGCAAAGTTTGAAACTCTTCAAAATAAGACAATTAAGTCCAAACTTTCAATAACATAACATTATAATTCCCAGAATCTGATAAAATTACCATACATGCAATAAAACAGAATAGTTTGACCAATAACAAGCAAAAAAAAAAAATAGTCATTAGATATCAACACAGGAAAAAAAAGATTAGCAGACAAAAACATTAGAATTATTAGAAGTATACTCAAAAGCTAAAGGAAGACGTGAATATAACAAGGAGATAAATAGTTGATGTAGAAAAATAAACAATTTCTGGAGCAAAAAATGTAATAATATATAAAAATAATACTCTTGATGAAATTAGCAGATTAGACACTGCAAATGGAAAAACAGTTGGTAAGCTTGAAGGCATAGCAATATCAACTAACCAAACTAAAAGAGAGAATAAAAAAAAACATAAATGAAAATTAACATATTTTCAGTAACCGGTGACTTGTGGTTATATTATACGTAATCCAATATATGTATAATTGGAATTACAGAAAAAAAGGAGGTGTAAGAATATTTGAAGAAAAAATAACCATATTGCATTTCTAAATTTGATGAAAAGTATAAACACATAGATCCAAGAAACTCAACCAATCCCAAACACAATAACCACAAAGAAAACCACATTAAGGCATAATAATTAAATTGTTGAAAACCATTAATAAATAAGCAATCTAAAATAAGAATGTGGCAGGAAAAACATATTAAATACAAGAGAACAGAAATAAAAATAATTGCTGACTTCTTGTCAGGAACAATCAAGTGAGAAGAAAACAAAACAACCTCTCTAAAGTACTGGGGGGAGAAAATCTGTAAGCAAAATCATTTTTTTTAAATGAAGATGACTACTATAAGGCAGATATTGTCAGATTGGATAACGTAAAACCATAAGCTTTCTACAATAAACACATTTTAAATGTAAAGGAGTAGATTATAAGTATGAAAAAATGGCAGGCAATTACTGATAAAAAAATAAAAAAGAATGGGATTTCTAAATCAATACCAGGCAAAGTAGACTGCACGAAAAGGAATATTACCAGACCTAAAGGGGGCATTTCATAATGATAACAGAGTCAGTTTATCAAGAAGACAGAATAATCTTAGATATATACATATGTATATATAATCAAACTAAAATGAAAACTAGACATCATAATTACAGGTAGAAATTCAAGCTGGGTGCGGTGGCTCACGCCTGTAATCCCAGCATTTTGGGAGGCCGAGGCGGGTGGATCACGAGGTCAGGAGATCGAGACCGTCCTGGCTAACACGGTGAAACCCTGTCTCTACTAAAAATACAAAAAATTAGCCGGGCGTGGTTGCAGGCGCCTGTAGTCCCAGCTACTGGGGAGGCAGAGGCAGGAGAATGTCCTGAACCCGGGAGGCAGAGCTTGCAGTGAGCCGAGATCGCACCACTGTACTTCAGCCTGGGCGACAGAGCAAGACTCCGTCTCGAAAAAAAAAAAAAAAGAAAAAGAAATTCAACGCTCCTCTTTCAGAAATCAGTTGAACAAGTAGTCAGAAAAAGAATAAGATTTGAATGACATTATCAACCATCTTGACCTAATTGACATTTAAAAATACTCTGCACAATAATGCCAGGATACACATGTTTACAAGTGCACATGAACCATTTGCCAAGACAGATCGTGCTTTCAATCATAAGCAAATTATCTATACATTTAAAATAATTATAATCATACAGAACGTCTTTTCTGGCCACAACAGAATTTATCTAGAAATCAACAACAAAAAGTCATAAAAAATGCCCAAATGTTTGTAACTGAACAACGCTTTCTTAATTATACATCAGTGGAAGAATCACAAGGAAAATTTAAAATCTTAAAAATGAAAACACATCCTACAAAATTTATGCGATACAGATAAAGCAGTGTCTACAGAGAGATTTAAAGCTTTAAATGCTTAAATTAAAAAAAATATAATGTTAGTAATCTGAGTATCTACATCAAGGAAATAAGAGCAAATTAAACTCAAAGTAATTATAAGGAAGTAAGATAAAAGTGATATCAGTTAAATAGACTAAGGCCTAACAATAGAAAAAATCAATGACAGCAAAAAGATATAGAGAGATAAAGAGAATACAAACTGTCAATATCAGGAGGATTAATATCGCATATTCTATAGACTTTAAAAGGATAATTTTGGCTAATAAATTTAAAATTTCATTGAAATGTACAAATTCATTGAAAAGTACAATTATCAAAACTTTCAGAAGGAGAGAAAAGTTGAGTAACCCTGTAATTGTAAAATACATAAAATTAATTATTAAAACCTTTTCTTAAAAACTCCAGGCCTGAATGACTTCACAAGTAAATTCTACCAAACATTTCATGAAGGAATCACACATATTTTACATAAATTATTTGAAGAAAAAGAAGAAAAGGGAATATGTCCTAATATATTTTTAGAAAGAATTATCTTAATACCAAAACCAGACAACAAAACAAAGAAATAAAATGCAGAACAATGTGCCTCACAAATGTAGATATAAAAATCTTTAATAAAAATTTAACAAAATACAGTTATATGTAGAAAGGATAACATGCCATGATTAAGAGGGCTTGTTCCAGAAATGCAATGTTGATTCCACATTTTAAAATCAATCAGTCTTACACAATATTAACTAAGTAAAGAAGAAATGGTCATCTCAATATATGGAAATATTTGATAAACCAACTCCTATTCATGGTTAGGAACTCCCTACAAGCCGTCAATAGAAGGAATCTCCTCAATCTTACAAAGGAAATCTATGAAAAGTCTATAGCTAATATTATATATAAGGGTCAAACATTGATTTCTTCCTAAAATAAAGAACAAGGCAAATGTGTATCTTTTGGCAACTTCTATTCAACGTTTGACTGGAGACCCTGGCTAGTGTAATTAAGGCAAGAGAGAGAAATAAAATGCAAATATAAGAGAAAGAGAAAGTTAAGCTGTATTTCTTCCATAGATAACATGATCAAGTATTTACATGATTTTTTAAAATAATCTACAAAAAATACTTAAGCAGATAAGCAAAGACTTTGAATACAAAGTCAACATATATTTTAAAAATTCATTTCCATATACTAGCAACTAAAAATTGGAAATGAAAATTTAAAAATACCATTTGCAATAGTATCAAAAACATAAAATACGGATAGATTTAACAAAATATGTGTAAATCTGTACCCTGTAAACTATAAATCATTTCTGAAAAAATATAACATTCTAAATAAATAGCAAAATACATCATTTTCCTGAATAGAAAGATTCTATTGTGTTAAAATTTTCCCTAAGTTCATCTATAGTTTCAGTGTAATCCCAACCAATTCCAAAGGTGATTTTTTATTTCTGAAGACATTGAAAAGGTGATTCTAAAATTTGTATGAATATGAAAAGGATCTAGAATAGTTTAAAAAACAAAAACAATGAACAAAGTTGAAGAATTTACAATACTGATGTCAAGACTTAATATAAAGCTACGGTTATCAGAACAGAATGGGACTAGTATGAGGTTAGGCAGAACAATGGGACTTGATACTCATCTCTACTGAGACCTCTCTCTTAAGCTCATGATTTTAGAAATAACTATTCATTTTACATCTTGGATGTCTTTAAGACATCCTAAGCTCTATATATCTGAAACCCAACCCATTTTTCCCCTAAATCTGAAATTGTTCCTTACCCCTTTCATCATTTCCTAGAGTTGTGCCAGCCAAAAACTTAAGAGTAATTCTCCACCCCTCCCTGTCTTTGATACTCCACATTACTGATTCTTTACTGGGAACTTCCAGTTTTACCTCCTAATATACTTCGGCTTCATCCACATTTTACTATTTCTACCACCCAATTATAACATGTACTGCCTAGACTTTTATAAATGCTTCCTTAACTACAAACTACATCTACTTTTAATTAGCTCCAGAGTATATATTTGAAATAAAAATTGTAGCATGTTAAACCTTGCTTAAAATACTCCAATGTCTTCACATTGGATTTAGGAAAAAGACAAATCTTAATAACGCTTTCAAGACTCTTCCACATCAGCCCTTACTTGACTCCCTAGCATCACCTTGCACCACTCTATTCCTTGCTCTCTCAGAGGGTAATTCTCATGGTTGTTTGTTCAGAGGAATATTAGCACGCTTTACCTGTTTATCCACAAATGAACACGGGCGTTACATGTCCTATGATTACTACATATGAAAATACATCTACCTCCTTATTTCCAGTTTAAACTTGGCAAGTTGACATTACATATGAAGTTCTAACTTTTTAGACTTACACAATTTTTTTAGAGATTGTCAAGTTATTGACACATTCACATGATCTATAATGTTAATATCTCCATATTTTTCTTCCAAAAGTCAATGCATTTTTTATGTATTTTTGATAAACATTGTTTATATTTGGTGACCTTATTGAAAAAATTGAGAACTGAAAGGTTTTCCTTAAAAATATGTTCTAGCATGTGTTTCTACATATAATGTAATTCTGAGATCATGCAAATGTGGAATGCAGAATGATAGCTAAACATTGTATTTCTTTATACTCTGTGTTTTAGAGGAATAGTTTGAAACTTCTTCGTCATTACAAACATAACAGAGGATGTATCACACACTCCTATGGGATGCCCCTGAGGTTATATAAGGGTTCCTGAGTTCTACCTTTGTTCTCTTTTACTTGAGAAAGCATATTGTAAAGCAAGTGAATGACAGTGACATTATTGTAGTGGTTATCTTGGAACTCATTTATAGGATTCTAAAATTAAATCACTCACAAATTTCAGACTTTACCTACCATTAATAACAAATTACTTGTGGTGCATCTCACCAGTAAACTGGGTGAAGGAGAATTATAATACAGGAGTATAAAAACAACTCTTTTAAAAAGCGACAATTCAACTATCTTGAACTATCACTGTGTTCTAGCCTGAATGAATATAACAACACTCATACTGAACACCAAATCGTAAATTATTGCACATATTTATATATTGATTTTAAAACATGCCTTTATATAAAAATATTTCTCTTTTGATTATGTTCATACACCCAAATATTCAGGCATATTCCCAATAACACTGCTTGTAAATTCCTTAATTCCCAATACTAGAGAGCTGAGGGCATAGAATTCTTGTTAACAATAGACATTTCTCAAATAGTTGAAAGACTGGAGAAAGTAATATCCTCTGGGCTCACATGAAGGCAATAGTGTGCGGTTAGTTCTGTTATTGACTCTGTATTCATGGAGGAGTTAGTGAGAGTTTATGGAGTCTGGTGGGCTTGGCCAGTTTCCTCTCCAGCCTGTTACTATCCCATTTCTTTGTTATTCCCTGATGGTCAGTGCCCTTCAGAAAAACTGAGCATTTGCCCCCTACACACAATCTCTTCTGCAGCATCCTTGAGCATTTGCATTGGCATTAGGCCAAATTTATCTTGAGATGTCCCTGGTCTGAATCTCTTTACCATATTTTCACCATGTCTCTTTCTGCAGGCAACAGCTGTCAAGGGGCCCATCCTTTCTTTATCTTGCCTCATGGGAAAAGGAAAGCAGCAGGTTTAGTAAATGGACAATCCTGGACTCATAGGCTGGCTCTGCTTTTACCTTTCTGACCGTCAATTTGATAATCAAAGAAAAAAGATATCTGTAAGTTCTTTGGGGTGATATATATAAAACATAGACAATGTCCGGTATATAGCACACAGTCAAATGAACAAGATAAAAATATTCACACTAAGGCATAGCTTTCAAATTTGTAAAATATATAAAAGGATAATGCTTAACCCAAGGGGCTGGCATCTTAGATATTAGGGGGAAAAAGTCAATGTTTGATGATGCCTGCATCAAGTCATACATTCATAAACAAAAGGTATTAGTAAACAAATACCTGCAGTGTCTTCACCACCCATATAATCTTCCCAGGGTGGTAAGTTCAGCAAGTTTGCCCCAATGGTTGATATCTCATGGAATCATAGAAGAAAATCCAGGCCAATTTTGAGCCTCAGGAACTTGGTAGATGTTGAGGGAAGTGGCACAGAACATCTGTGGAAAGGACTGTGGTCCCATTGTTTTTTTTTGTTGTTCCCCAGAGAGTGTCGTAGTCTTTGCTGCAATGACAAGAATAAGAAATACCTGGAGAGTGTTTATTCCAATGAAAGACTAATTTTCAAGGTCTACCTCTCCATGGCTATGTTATTATCAAGTCAAGGAACATAGTGTGGCCTCTGAATGAATTGTAGTTGATTCAGTTATGAATTATTTAAACCTCAAGTCTTGGGTTGGAGAAGTGGAGGGGAGAGGGTAGCTTTCAGGATTTAAAATCAGTGTTTCATTGGAGTGTTACCTTGCTTCTTGCCAGACATCAATGCCTGCTGACTTAAGAGTGACACTTTTATCTTTAAGTGTAGAACTGGATTTGATGTAAAGATTAACTGTATTCCATTCAGCCTGGAATGTTCTAAAGCCTCAATAAGCTGGAGAATCCTCTTGACTTGGTTCTGGCTGAGCAGCTCAATTTGTACCTCTACTGTCACCTGGTCCTCTTGTTCTTCCATTGGAAGAAACTGTGGGCTTCCTGAATATTACACTACATGATATGAGCATGTTGTCCATGTCTCACCACCTTCCCTGCAAAGCAGTGTTATAAAATCAGCAGCTCATGCAGGCCATTTCAGGGATTGTTGCTGCCCTCAGCAAAGATTGGTTTTCTTTTACAGTCTCACATAAAGTGAAAACCAGATAAGCCATCCCAGGAAGGGTCCACACAGGAATAGATGGAGGATTTGGGTAGTTAGAAAGCAACTGACTCATATCTCTGTGCTACTGTGTCCCTACGTGCTAGGGAAAGGGCACACAGGAGACTCTTTAGCAGTGCTTAAAGAGAGCATGGGAGATGCCTAGCACATGCCAACATGAATGGATAATGGTAAGCTGGGTAAACCCCATGGCCTCTCCACCTACCTGGGATTCTGCTCTGACAGGTACATGAGGACTCCTTTTGGAAGTGGTTCATGCCTGGTTAGTCTCTCCAATTATCTTCAAATGCTAGGGATTTCCTAATACATCCCATGGACTGGCTCTTCATGAATATGAAACCATTCTAGAGAAAACAAACCTCATAATTTAAAAACACATCATTCAGGGCTGGGTTTTACTTTATCTGAAATATGGCTCCTTCACACTCAAGATGTAGCCTCTAGTGGCTAATTGACCAAATATGTCCACTACATCCAACCCTTCATAATTGCATTTATTGATTCATTCAGCTAGTGAATGTTTTCTAAGTGACTATTGACACTCAGGCTTGTATTGGTTACTGTGGAGGATACTCAGGAAAATATGACAATGTTGTTCATCTCTCTGACTTTCATAACATAAACGCCTTGAAGTCAGAGGCCTTTTTCTACCTTTTTTCCTAATTAATTTTTTGTATCTGTCATGTATGTAAATGATTTTAGAAGGATGAGGGAATGAGCAAATGTAAGTAAATTATTTTAGTAAGCATGAGAGAATGGGTAAATGGAAGAATGATCCTGATCTCTAAAAGAATAGAAAATGTATCTTTCTCTTTTAAGCAGAAAGATAATTATTCAGTGGCCCTTGAGGAATAGAATGAACAATTTCTCCAAAGGCCTTCATATTCTGAAGAGTAAAATGATTTGTTAATAAATATGAATATCTTCTCAGAATAGTTATCCAATAAAGAGGTTTCAGGATACAAATGAAGTTCTTAGTCTTGTGTATCTGGCATTATCTATATAATTTCAATAGTCATATTCAGAAGTAGGAAACATTCAGAAGGCCATACATAAATGAATCTTGAATTCTACAAAATTATTGTAATATGCAAAGATGGACTTTTTTTTTATTCAACTGAGTATGTAACATTATTAAGCCACATATTATATTAATAAATGCAGATAAGTTTGGATTGCTGAACATTCTGTACCCAGAGATCTCCGGAAGTATCCAGTTCCCACAACATTCCATAGGGATTTATGAGCACTTAGAAAACTATACAAAATGCACACTTTTTTAAAAATAAACTTTCATCAGTAATATAATGAAATGATTGATGATATTGTTACTTTCAACTAAACAGTGTTTGACAGCTGTAGAGTGAACCAAACATTTATTGAATACACTATATAATAGGCCTCTGTCTTTGGTGATACAATAATCAATAAAATCCCAAAGGTACTTATATTTCAGCTAGTAAGAGAAGACCCAGGCACTTGCCACATTATTTCACACCAAAATATTTTTAAAGACAATATCATACCATAATAGTAGTTACGGCAATTACCTTCTTAAAGCATGATTTAAAAAATGATTTTGGGGGACAGCCATGTACTGTAATCACCTTTGTCTACCTTCACCTTGAATTTTACAACTGATCTGCTAATGGCTGATGGGGTTGGCTCCTAATGAACAGGAATTTGGTCCCTTTGGTGCTTCCCGTAATAGGCTTACACTCTCTGCTTTGTTCCTCTTTGCTTCTTGTTCTTCCTTCTATCCTCATATGTCCTCCTTGTTGGCTCCATGGTACCCTCTTTAACATGTAGGTAGGTTCAGGGTACTTTTCTTTTTTACTATTGATACTCCTTCTCAGCCATGGTCCACCAACTGACCCAAGGACTGTATGCCAATAAGCCTTATAGCTGAAGCACTACCTAGCTTCTTTCCAAGTCCTGCCTTTGGGGTATATGCAGGGATATTTAATTTTATGATGCTGAAAACCTCATCTTAGTTTTACATGAATATCTTATTTCTACTATAATTTGAATGTGTGTTTTTTTTTTCTGATAGTAGAATCACATGACTCCTAAGTAAGAAAACATGAAACTAGATTTCTCAGATTCAGGAGTTCCATTCTGCACTTGCTCGAAACAACCAAATGTTTTACTGGCATCTGGGAGTGAAGCCAATGAACACATGTGGTCAGTTTCTTTATGAGTAGGATGAGGGGATTTGGGTTAGATGATTTCTCAGATTCTTTCTAGCTTTAATTTTCAGAGACTCTTTAACTCTGATTCCTAGGGAAGAGGGAACTACATTGATTTGAATTTCAAGATGAAGACGTTCTTTTCAGCCATGCAGCTTTAGAATTAGATGGAACTTATAAATTATCATGCTTATCCTCTTATTTTATAGACATGGAAAAGGAGGTCTAAAAGGAAATGACCTGCTCAAAGTCATACATCAACTGAGTCCAGAGCTGAATCTGGACTTGGGCTTCTTGTCTTTATTCTACTGGCTTTCCATCGTCCCAGGGAAGACACCCTAGAGGAGTGCCCCTAGAAGTAAGTGCTAATAATTTCCCACAAAAATCTGGCACATTCACACATACTAAATGTGGGGTTTTGATTTAAATGTTTGGCTGTTGTAAAAGCTATCAAGTTCAGCCAACTTGATCTCCTGCTTGTTGGTGGACTATCCAGTGAATTACTCAGGCCTGAACCTGAGCCTGAGGTGCTCATTTTTTGTTCTCACTTTCCAGCCACCATGTAGCCCTTGCTGGAAAAATACTCTTAAACCACCACAAAGATGTACTTAATTTAACTTTCCAAATCTGCTTTTTCTATATGTACCTTCTAACTGTAGCATCATATTCAGTATCTCAAACCTAGGAAACATTTTATTTCATTAAACATTTTGGAATTAAGGAATGCCTTCAAAAAGCATTTAAAGAAATCTTGGAAAAGACCTAACACTCTCTAGGTAATACGGATGGATTTAATCAAAGAATGCCTAATGTATGTTGAACGGACTCTTTCAAACTTGCTTTATCAGTTTCTCCCAAATTTTCAAGTGATCATGATTTGCTTCCATTTCTTCTGAAAATTTGAAGTGATAACACATTTCTTGATGAGATCATTCTGAAGAATTATGGAGAAAAGGGAACTTTGAAAGTTTCAAGACATGTTCATTTTTACTTGGAATCATAAAAGCTGTAGCCACAATTCTCTTTGCAGTTACATTTCTTCCTCTCTAGCTACCATTTCTAGATTTAAAACCCTGGAAAAAGTACAGTTTCACCAGCCATCACTAGTACCCAGTGTCAGCAGCTCATATAAAACCTGGGAAAATATAGTTAGGATTAAAGAAATCTGTAAAACTGTGAAACAAGGCCATAGCATGTAAAATACAATTCCTTTTACTCGGTACATAATTTATTAGGAAAGCTCTTTATTTGTAGGAAATCTGCTTGACACCTTATCCTTGACAACTGTTTACTTCATTTTAGCAGAACAAAAACGGATAAAATGTTTTCCAGTATGGGAATCCATTAATTTCTCAATAAGTATCTTATGTCTATGCTTTAGACACATTCTCCAATTCTTTTCCTACAACCAGTCTCAGCTAGAATTAACAGGGGTTTATACTCACTCCTACCCCATCTCCACCTCCCTGCTCCCCAAGAACCACTGTGCTCACTACTGAACTCACTGCTGCTAGTCATGAGGATTTGGCTTTTGGACTCCCATTCCCGTTTAGTTTCTCTTCTCTCCTAGTTCTGTGAGCCATGTCTAACTTTGTTGTAAGAGGGTTTTGGTCTTTTTTCATGGTGATTTTCTCAGGGAAGCATCAATTACGCACAATTTTTGGCAGTTTTGCAAATAGAAGGAGCCCTTCATTTTCAGAACCCTTTTGTCAAAAACAGTAGAGAAGAGTCAATGTCAACAGCACTTTTGCTTGGAGAGAGCCCCTTGTTCTCCTAGGCATACACTATTCTTGCATTTCTGAGCTGTCCAACACCCTAAGATTACAGAATCTTCACAAACGCCTTTGGCTACATGTTGGGAGGGGCTTTGCAAGCATCACAACTTGGGTGTGAAGATCAACTTAGTTCTTCTAAGGGTGCTGTTTTTTTTCTAGTGTTCATTACTGCCTTTAGTTTCAAAAAGAGAATGTCCTGATTTGCCCTCTCAAAGAGCAGCTCTGAGATATTATATCATACTGTCACCTATAGAGTTTCCTTCTATTCTGGGTAAAGGGTAGGAAAATTCTCACTCATTCATTTCAGAGATAAACCTATCAGTGTGGGGTGAGGCAGGAGAAAGAGTAGGGAACAAAATATTATGTGGCCATTGATCAGTAAAGGAGAAGGTGAGAAGAAATAGAGGAAAGGGCTCACTCAAGCCTATAGGCAAATCTGGCTTTTGTTCAGATGGAAAGACCTGCCAGAAAAGATGAATAGTACTCACTCATCCCCACTTTTAGCTTTGAATACCTTTCCTTCTTGCTCTATCACAAATACAGATTTACTTGGATTCTAACAAAGGATTTTCATGATTGATCTGCTCTCAGTATTTAGGACAACTAATGAAAATACAAATCCTATAAAGAGAAGTTCTAGGCCAGCTGGCACCATCATGGTGCCCTTGGTGTTTCAATTCTATCCATACTCACCACTCCATTTGTAGTCAAGGGGCTGGCACCGGCCAATAACAAGCTTATTTCTTTCTTTTTCTTTTTTTTTTTTTCTGAGATGGAGTCTCACTCTGTCGCCCAAGCTGGAGTGCAGTGGCGCAATCTTGGCTCACTGCAAGCTTTGCCTCCCGGGTTCACACCATTCTCCTGCCTCAGCCTCCCAAGTAGCGGGGACTACAGGCGCCCACCACTACGCTGGCCTATTTTTTGTGTTTTTAGTAGAGACGGGGTTTCATCATGTTAGCCAGGATGGTCTCTATCTCCTGACCTCGTGATCTGCCCTCCTTGGCCTCCCAAAGTGCTGGGATTACAAGCGTGAGCCACCAGGCCCAGCCCAAGCTTCTTTCATGGTTGCTGAGAAGAGTTTATGGGTAGAGGGTAGGTGTTGGTGGATGGATGTTGGTTAACAAAGTTCATGATCTCATAAATGTATTTAGAACTTTGCACCTGGGGCAATGTCGCCCAGAGCAAAACCTAATTTGCTACTTCCTAAGTTATTTGTGGAGAGTTTGTGTTTAAAAAAAGCAATCAAAGCTCAAATTTTTAAAACTCTTATTTTAGAATTTGTATTTTCATCAATTTTCCTAAACACTAATAGCAGGTCAATCAGAAAATCTTTCATTAGAACCCAAGTGAACTTGTATTTGGGGTGGAGTAAGAAAAAAAAGGTATTCGAAGTTAAAAGGAGGAGTGAGTTAAAAAGCACTATTTGTTTTCCTCGTCATGTCTTTATATCTGAACAAAAGCGATATCTCTACAGTATTTCATTTGGGTGCCTTGTTTATTTACCTTACAAAATAGACTATGTGTCTCCTTGGATATTACAGTCCTGGATATAAGAAAACTTACAGAGCATAGGCTGGCCACAGTCTTAATTATTACTATCATCATCATCATTAGCCATCACAGATAGAACATTATTGTGAGCTAAATAGAGTACTATTTTATATATCTTATTTAATGCTAATAATAACACTATGACCTATTATTTCCACATAGGCTCAGTGAAGTTGAGTACCTCATTCAACATCATATAGCTCCTAAATAACTGAATTGCAGTCCAAGATTCATGCTGTCAACCTGCATGGAATCTGTTTCCTAATGAAAAAATAGCCTAATATGTATTTACTTCCGACAATGTAAACCAAAGAGAAAATGCTGATATTGGTTATAACTGTGGTGAACTCAGGAGGAATTTTGAAGCAACTGTGCCTTTTTTGACTCACAGAAATTTCCATGAATCAGTATTGATTCTTTCATACAAGGAGTAAATGAAAGTAAGAGCCAAGAACTAGGAGGTATTTTGATCATCCTTCAGTTGGAAAAACATAATTATTATTAGGTTAAAAGTAACCCAAAGCTGGGCACAGTGGCTCACACCTGTAATCCCAGCACTTTGGGAGACCGAGGTGGGCAGATCACGACAACAAGAGATCGAGACCATCCTGGCTAACACGGTGAAACCCCGTCTCTACTAAAAATGCAAAAAATTAGCCGGGCCTGGTGGCGGGCACCTGTAGTCCCAGCTACTCAGGAGGCTGAGGCAGGAGAATGGCATGAACTCGGGAGGCGGAGCTTGCAGTGAGCTGAGATCACACCACTGCACTCCAGCCTGGGCGACAGAGTGAGACTCCCTCTCAAAAAAAAAAAAAAAAAAAAAAGTAACCCAAAAAGTTTCATTACTTTAAAAATCATAACTTCTCAAATTCTATAAATACTTAGTTTTATGGTGTTTTTTTCAGTTGCTTCTGTTTCTTTTCTTTTTCCGGGTAGAAATTGCCTTCTTCCTCCCTAAATTGTTCTTCTCTATCATGAAAGATTTTCAACATAAAGATAAAAATATGCAATAATGTAAAAACATCTCTGTACCTTCTCCAATTGTATTCTCTCCCTCATTTCTCAGAGATAACCATTATTGTAAATTCAGCATTCATTATTCTCATGAGTGATTTTATACTTCTTTGTCTATAGGTATTCACATACTTTATAGAGTGTTATTTTGCAGGTTTTAAAATTTTATGTAAATAATTTTAAATTTTATACATTGTTTCAAAACCCTGTATTTTTGATATTATGTTTTTGAGAATCTTCCCTATCGGTGTACAAAGTTCATTATTTAAAATGGTGTATAGCATTCTGTATAAACATACCACAATTTATGGGTCCATTGTCATGTTTACAGATATTTATGTTGTATCTAATTATTATTATAACTAGTGCTGTAATGCACATGCTTTTATGTACTGGTATGTAAGAATTTATCTAGAATTGATGTCCAGTAGAATTGCTGACTGATATCATAGAGCATATGCATCTTTAATTTAAGAGCATATTGCCAAAATGCCCCCAGCCTGAGGGTGTTCTAAACACCCAGAGGAACTGCAGGAACCAGAAAGAGGATCTGGTGAAGAAGGTTGGCTTAATGTGTGGACCTGAAGAGCATACAGTGCTGCTTTCTTTCCAGGAGCTTTCCGCAATAACAGTTATTTCCTTGTAACCTTGAACACTTTGGCAGGTTGAAATCTGAAGCTGAGATTTCTGTTATATTGAGCCTTTCTCTTTCAATTTCCTCTCTCCCCAGTGTGAAAATATTATGTTCTATGTTTAGGGCTCTGTGGAAATCATGCTTCTTAATTAGGTCTGCTGTTGACCCATTTGAAAACTGAGAAAGCCAAGGGTTAGACAGAACAGCACTTCTCAGAATTCAGTGTGTATAGGAGCCACCTGAGGATCTCATAACATTGCAGATCCCCGTGCAGTAGGTCTGAGGTGGGCCTGAGAGTCTCCAATTATAGCAAGATCCCATATAATAACAATGCTGCTGGTTGAAAGATCACACTTTGAGTAGGAAGAGGATATCCTAGAGGAAATAATGATTTGCCAACTTTTAAGCTTTTCTGGGAGTTAATGCAAATTATTTTAAATTCCTTACCTTTTTTTTCTTCAAATAGCAGTAAATTATAAAATAATTAGAACATTTTAGGATTCACTTCTTTCAAATAAATCCTTATTATATTCTTGATAGAAGTAGAAATAAATTGTTCTGTTACAACATATGAAATCTATATCTTTCAATCTTATTTTTGGTGAAAGAAATAAGCATGAGCTGATTTAGAGCACAGTCATATGTGAGTGCTGCATGAACTCTTGGGAGGCTCTGCATCACAGTAGGAGAGAAAACTAATTCTTCACTGCCATGTACTATGCTGAAATAAAGTTACAGGAAGAGTAAATATTTAAATATAAAATTAGAAACATGAAGTACCAAAAACACAAAGGAAGATTTATCTGTTCTTGTAGGGGAAAAAAGCCTATGTAAATATAAAGGCAAAGGCAAAAATAATAAAGGAAATATCAAAATATTTAAATATATAGACATTTAAGTCTTGAGATAAAAATAATATAAACAAAATTGAAAGAAAAAATATCTCATTTGAAGAAAATTGCAAAATATGGCAAAATAAACTATTATAAATCATAAGGGAAATATGAAAATGACAGTAGAAAAATGTACATACAATATAGAGATAGTTTGTAAAAAAGAAATACTAATAGGTAGTAAATGTGAAAATTTTAATCTCATTAAACTAAAAAAATTCAAATTAAAAATCTCTCAATTTTAATCTATCAAGTTGGTACTTGTTTTCAGTTACACTTTTCTTTTTTTCTGGCTTTTCCTTTCTGCTTCTTTATCCCCTCTTCTTTGAAGCACTTCATGCCTGTGATTTATTTCCCTCCCACTTCCTCGACTGCCCCCACCAAAGTTTTTTCTAGGAAGAAGCTAATCTCAAAATCAAGAAACGTAACTTCTTTGCATTTATTGTTTTCTCTCATTCTCTTTTATTTTAGAAAAATAAAAAGTGCTTTTATTTTAATTCCAGGTAGGGGGCAAAATATGGGTGGACTGTGTACTTCCCAAAAAACTGAAACATGTATACTGTTATTGTTTTAGATAATCTTGCCAGGACCGGGTGGGCAGCCAGGCAAGGCTGGAATGCCCAGCTCATTCTCAAAGGAAGAGACAGAAACCAGAATGTGGGCCTTTGGGCTGATTACTCAGACTCCCTGAGTGCTTGTTTCTTTAATAAAAAATGAAGATAGAAATGTTTTCTTTGTAGTATGGTTGTGAGAATGACATAAATCAAATATGATGATGTATATAAGACATCTAGTGTAGTACTGCTGCATAGCTGGTATCATATATGTGTCATTATATTATTCTGAAGTCTCTGTGTACTTGAACATTGTCTTTTAATTCATATTGTATCCCGTAGCAGCTAGAATAGAGCTAATACGGTAAAACATGGTGTGTATGAAATTTGAGGTCATCCAGCTTTCTCCTTCCTCTAGAAGGAGAGAGGAGAAGGAAAGGGATATTTGGAGGAGAAGAAAGCTGATGGGGGGAGGAAAGGAAGGAGGGGAGGCAATTGCCCCAGAGCATCCCTGCACTGAGGGCCTTAGGCAAGATGGCAGGAACTTGGAGTGTGCATTACAGTCTGTCAGGAGTTACTGCTTGTGTTCCTAGCCTTCATGGTGCCAAATGCCAGATGACATGTGTCATGAATGATACATCCCATTCATATGTCTGAGAAAGATAGAGGGTCTATTTCAGAAGAGTTGGCATACCGTTCCTGTCTCTTTAGGCATTTAACAAGGAATATTAGTACAAATCAAGTGGGCATTAATGGTCAAAACCACCTGACTGTACTTTTTTCCTTAAACTAAATGCCAAGAATCCCAGTAGTAATGTCAGGCTTAAGTAAAATGCTTCAGAGTGGAGAAAGCTGGAGTGATTTTTTTTAAAACATCGAATTCATTTACTCTTCCAAATACTAAATTACTCTTCTAAATAAATATATTGCATCCAGTGAGTACAGTGGTTGACCAGAATATGAGATAGCATCCTAATAGAATAGAGACACATTCCTGACATATCAGTTATAAAAATAGTTGGTCATAAGTCTTGGTAATACATCTACCTTCTCATTTAAATGAGCTGCCTTGATCTCATTAGTATAAATGTACTTCCTTCCCCACTCCCTACAAAAGGGCTGGCCTCTAAGGAATAAAATAATAACCACTCTTTCTAAAGAATTTTGGAAAATTCTACTAGCGCAAGAGCCACATAGCAAAGACCTATAACAAACTCCTTGGTGTGGAAAACCTGTGAACGTGCATTTTTTTTTAATTATACTTTAAGTTCTAGGGTACATGTGCACAATGTGCAGGTTTGTTACATATGTATACATGTGCCATGTTGGTGTGCTGCACCCATTAACTCGTCATTTACATTAGGTATACCTCCTAATGCTATCCCTCCCCACTTCCCCCACCCCACAACAAGCCCCGTGTGATGTTCCCCAGCCTGTGTCCAAGTGTTCTCATTGTTCAATTCCAACCTATGAGTGAGAACATGAAGTGTTTGGTTTTTTGTCCTTGTGATAGTTTGCTGAGAATGATGGTTTCCAGCTTCATCCATGTCCCTACAAAGGACATGAACTCATCATTTTTTGTGGCTGCATAGTATTCCATGGTGTATATGTGCCACATTTTCTTAATCCAGTCTATCATTGATGGACATTTGGGTTGGTTCCAGGTCTTTGCTATTGTGAATAGTGCCACAATAAACATATGTGTGCATGTGTCTTTATAACAGCATGATTTATAATCCTTTGGGTGTATACCCAGTAATGGGATGGCTGGGTCAAATGGTATTTCTACTTCTAGATCCTTGAGGAATCACCACACTGTCTTCCACAATGGTTGAACTGGTTTACAGTCCCACCAACAGTGTAAAAGTGTTCCTATTTCTCCACATCTTCTCCAGCACCTGTTGTTTCCTGACTTTTTAATGATCACCATTCTAATTGGTGTGAGATGGTATCTCATTGTGGTTTTGATTTGCATTTCTCTGATGGCCAGTGATGATGAGCATTTTTTCATGTGTCTGTTGGCTGCATAAATGTCTTCTTTTGAGAAGTATCTGTTCATGTCCTTTGCCCACTTTTTGATGGGGTTGTTTGATTTTTTCTTGTAAATTTGTTTAAGTTCATTGTAGATTCTGGATATTAGCCCTTTGTCAGATGGGTAGATTGTAAAAATTTTCTCCCATTCTATAGGTTGCCTGTTCACTCTGTTGGTAGTTTCTTTTTGTTTATTCTCTGTGGAGTTACTAGCTCTGCACTGGACAAGGACCAAGGCTTTTCTGGGAAGAGGTCTGGGACCACCTCTGATTTCATGTTGGACCTGCATTTCTGCTTGTGCTGGGTCAGGTGTTTAAAAGATTAGTCATCAGAAAGGGCAGCAAGACAGCACCCCTTTCTTTGTTTCATTTTCCTTTTTCAGAAGATGGTATCTCATCCTGGATATATGGAAAGAGATGGGGAGGCAGTTTCTTTGGGCATGACAGTGGGAGAGAGCCATGCATTGAGCTGACTGCAAGACAAGCACCTGATTCTTTTCTGCCTGGAAAGCCCACTGTGCTCACCTACACCCCATGTATTTCCACTCCTCCTGCTCATACCGCTTGTCATGAGCTCATTCTTCTCAACTGCCATTGGTTTACGCTTTGGTCTCCCATAGGCTCTGTGTCCTTCATGCTCTTCCCCACTGGCCATGTCTCCTTGCCACACTGTAGCACACGTGATCCCATTCATCTGTGGTCTCTGTGCTGTAGGGACCACAGGACGCGCTGGAAGAGAATGAGCTTTGTTTCAGACAGAAACCGCAGCTCTCCTTCATCACATTTTGAATGTGGGGCTTTGGGCTAATTACTCTAACTCCCTGAGTGTTAGTTTCTTTCATAAGAAATGAGGATAGAAATATTTTCTTTGCAATATGGTTGTGAGAATGACATAAACCAAATATGATGATGTATGTAAGATATCTAGTATAGTATTGGTGCATGGCTGGCATCACATATGTGCCATTTTATATTATTTTAAGGTCTCAGTGTACTTGGACATTGTCTTTTAATTCATATTAGCTAGAATAGAGCTAAAACAGTAAAACATGGTGTGTATGAAATTTGAGGTCATCCAGCTTTGTGCTTTCTCATTGTGTGGCTTGAGGAAATTCCTTAAACTCTCCATCTTATTTTTAGCATCCAAAAATTAGCAGAATAATAAGTATTCTGTAGAGTTATGTGAAGGTTAAATGTGATATGTATTGAGGTAATTAACAAAGAGCGCCACCTAGTAAATCCTCAACAAATATTGGGGATTGCTCGTCAGAACAAGCTGAGTGAGATCAAGCCAGGAGTGACTGTTTGTGCAAGTGAGATTTGGCCTTCCCCTCTCCCTAGAGCTCACTTCTCCTATGTAAGATCAGGCGAGTGGGGAGGGGGGAGGCCTTTGGAGATGCCATGGGCCAAAGCTCAAGGAACTGTGAGGCCTGCTCCAGGCCACACAGGGAGCTAATGGCCAAACCTACTGAAGTCCTGGCTGTTTCACAGTTCCCTGGGGGCTGACCTCTCTGCCACCTCTCATTTCTGTACCTTTTGACCTACAGGAGTGCACAGCAAGGCCTTTGACAAATAAACAGTGGCCTAGATATTAAACTGCACCTGAAGCTGGTTATGCAGGTTCACTTAGCATTTGAACCAAGAGCGGAAACTCAGCTATACTCAGACTGCAGAGGGATTAACCCATTCTCAGACTCAGCCTGTGAATTATTGCCCACTGAGTAAATAGAAAAAGGGAGGGATGAACTAAATCTCATTCAAAGAAGCTCAAACGTGTGTAATTTTTAAAAACAAACCAAAAGTAAAAATAAAAAAAACAAAAAATAATCAGAAAGAAACAAAACAGATTTGGATATGGAAAACAATGCCAAGTCACCTTTCTGCTGCTGTCTCCCACATTAGAAAAGGAGAGAAGATGATGGATGATGGCAAAAAGGGTCCACCTCACTCCTCTGGCCTTGATTAGTTTCAGAAGGAACAAAGTATCATCTTCAAAATATGCTAGTTACTACTAAGCACCTGCTATATTTAGTGTGCTGTTTTTAGCTGAGCAGCCAGGGACAGGTGATGTGGCACTTGGAGAGAAGGAGAGAGGTCCTTGGGATATCTAGGGTGCCTGGCTGTCCCTGTGTGCCTGGGACTGAGGGGTTTCCCAGAACATGAGACTGCCAGTGTTAAAATCAGGCAGACGAAGGCAGTGGTTACCTTAACGATGTCATGAATACTTCATGAAATATGATGTTTCTAATTTTCTGAGATTGTTAGGCACTAACTAGATGGTAGTCAAAGTAAGATTCTGAGAGCCTAGAGTAATGCCACATTAGGGTGGATGACTAGAAAAGACTTATTGATAGGTGCCTGTATTTGGAACAGACAGGGGTCAGCATTAAGATGCTCTAGGACAGAGGAAAGCTTGAGCAAAACTGCAGAGAGAGGAAAGCACAAAGCATCCACAGGTACTTGGATTGCACATGTGGGCCTGTGCATGATGGCACACACGTGCACACACACACACACATATACACACACACTCTGACCATTCTCCGTTGTTGCCCATTTCAGCTAATGGCACAAGCATTCTTTCAGATCTCAGCCAAAAACCTCAGAATCATTCCCAAATCCTCTCTTTTTTGTCTTCCCCCACCCCACTCCACGTACAAATTAATCCATCTGGAATCTTTGCTAGTTCTCCCTCCAAACAGATCCAAGACATCATCTCTTCTGCCACAGCCCTAGACCTCAGCACTGCCATCCCTCACTTAGACAACTCTACCCTGGACTGTTCTCTCCCATGGCTGTTTTTCCAGCCCTCTGCCTATTCTACACCAGCGGCCCGGGCGCTCTCTGCAAAGCACAACCTGGTTATGCGCTTTCTACTTTACTGACTCCTGTTTAAAGCTCTCAAATAAGTTCTTTATCAGGAAAACAAAATCCAGACTCTTATCTTGTCCTGTTGAGGACTTGCACCATCTGGCCCCATCTGCGCCTCCAACTTTATTACTCTTTTCTCTTATGGTGTAACAAATGATCACAAACAGAGCAGTATGAAGCAACTGCCATTTATTAGCTCACAGCTCGGTATGTCAGAGGTACAGCACGGCATGGCTGGGTTCTCTCTAGGGCATGGCTATGGTTTGGGTCTGTGTCCCCACCCAAATCTCATGTTCACTTTTAATACCCCATGTTGGAGGTGAGACCCATTGGGAAGTGATTGGATCATGGGGCCATTTCTCATGAATGGTCGAACACCAACCCCTTTGGTGCTGTTCTCGTGATAATGAGTGAGATCGTGAGATCTCACTCATGGCACCTCTCGCCTCTTTTCTTCCTGCTACAGCCACGTGAGGTGCTTGCTCCCCCTTTGCCTTCTGCCATGATTAAAAGTTCCCTGAGGCTTCCCCAGAAGCCAAGCAGAAGCCATTATGCTTCCTGTACAGACAGCAAAACTGTGAGCCAATAAAACCTCTTTTCTTTACAAATTACCCGGTCTCAGGTATTTCCTTCTAGCAGTGCAAGAAGGGACTAATACAGGCATCATGAGCCTGAAATCCAGGTCTTGGTGGGACTGAGTTCTCTTCTGGAGCCTCTGGGGAAAAATCCACTTCCTATGCCATTCTTTTTTAAAAAATTAATTAATTTTTTTACTTTAAGTTCCAGGATACAGGCACAGAATGTGCAGGTTTTCTTGTGCCATGGTGGTTTATTGCACCTATTAACCTGTCTAGGTTTTAAGCCCCACATGCATTAGCTATTTGTCCTAATGCTCTCCCTCCTCCTGAACCCACCCCCAAACTGTTCCTGGTGTGTGATGTTCCCCTCCCTGTGTCCATGCATTCTCATCATTCAGCTCCCACTTATGAGTGAGAACATGTGGTGTTTTGTTTTCTGTTTCTCTGTTAGTTTGCTGAGGATGATGGCTTCTAGCTTCACCCATGTCCCTGCAAAGAACATAATCTCATTCCTTTTTATGGCTGCATAGTATTCGATGGTGTATGTGTACCACATTTTCTTTAACCAGTCTATCATTGATGGGCGTTTGGGTTGATTCCATGTCTTTGCTATCGTAAATAGTCCTAGCTCATTCTTACTATTGGTAAAAATCAGTTCCTGGAAGTTGTCGAACTGAGACTTTTGTTTCCTTGCTGGCTGCCAGCCAAAGGGTCACTCTCAGCTCCTTACTGTGTGGTCTCCTCCATCTTCAGGCCAGCAATGGTGCACTGAATCCTCATGCTCTGAGTCTCTGACTTTCTCTTCTGCCACCAGCTGAAGAAAATGCTCCACTTCAAAGGGCTCCTGTGATTAGGTCAGGCCCACCCAGATCATCTCCCTTGTTAAAAGTCAACTGTTTTGTAGAATATAGCCTAATCATGGGAATAAAATGCTTTACATTTATATTTCTGGGATTACACAGGGTGTGTACATAGGGAGAGAGAGTGAAAATCTTAGAATTCTACCGACCTGTCATGTTTCAAATGTCTTCTCAATTTTTCATTCACTGCTTCAGCCAAATTGGGCTTCTTCCTGTGCCTTGAAAAAGCCAGCCCTGACTTCTACCTCAGGGCCTTTGTGTTCACTATTCCTTCTGTTCAGATAAAGTTTTTGCTGAGAAAGCCTCCACAATGAGGCCTTTCTAACAATTTTATTTACGGAGCTTCCCTCTGCCACCTCTTGGAAATTCCTTTTGTGCAGTGCGTTTCCCAGCACTTGCTGCCTGCTGACTTCTACTCACTTACTGGTTTATGTGCTGACTTTCTTTCCCTTAGCTTCTCTCCACACATGCACCTGAGAGAAAGGACTTGTTTTGTTCATCATTGCATCCCCAGTGCCTCGGTCAGTGCTGGCACGAGCTGCAGATTGACCCCACAAATGCATGCATGTTCTGCAGAACGCAAGGACACCAGCTTAGTCAGGTTAGAAGAGGCATAGAAGTGATTCGAGCAGGAGGCAGATGCAGTGTTTAGCTATAGCTAAAGGCTTGAGTGACTGGTTAAGAACTTGAATGCAATGCTAAGGGCAGTGGGTCTCTCTTGGTGACTCCGAAAGTGCTGGACAACATGGGAGTACCACAAGAGAGCTCCAGCTGCAGGTGACCCTGCAGCACAGCTCCCTATGTTTGGGGAACACTGAGCCTTGAGCCTATAGGGGAAGGAACTCTCCATCACTTAGGACGGGGTGACCTGGAGCACCTACCACATCCCTACTCTGCCTCCCTGATTTCCAAGGGGTTATAGAACGAATCTGCTTTCCTACTCCACCTTGTCCAGAGGAATGAGGGTTGAAAAGATCATCTTAGATATGTACGATGCTAGCTTAAAGGAGAAAACAAATGTACTTGCAGTAACAATCATTCAAGTTTAGTTTCCAGATCCGTGTAAGGGAACGGCAGAGCAAGCACAGAGTCATGCTTGCCCTCCTTCCTATCAAGCCTCAGGGTGTGCCTCCTTCCAGACTTCAAGCTGGACACCATGGATGTGGATGTAAGTTTCCAAATCTGCAGTTCATTAAGTCCTTCCTTTGTTATAATATTATTTTTTAAAAATCCCTGATGGTTGGTTGTGAGGGAAAAAGAAATTCCCTATGTGACACATATTGGGTACATGTGTGTAATCAACTTCAGGGTTTTAGCACCCCTTGTCAATTACATTTGTTGCTATATCAGCTGTTTTAACACATTTTCTTCTCAGTTATTTGGATTTTAATTGTACTTATGCCTAGACACTGGCATATGGTATTAGGCTCCAAATTCTGAATAAAATTTATTTATATCATTTATTGTGAGATGCTGTTTTTCTTCTCATTTCCCACTATTTTTCCAATAATTTTATGGAACTTTTATTACTGGAGGGATATATTAAGATGCCTTTAGCATTGTGAACCTTGGATTCTTGCTTAGGCAAGGCCAATCTCTAACACATACAAAACCATGTCACCTGCTAGAGTTTGATATTGTATGTTTACATATGTGTGTGTATGTAAGTGTGTGTGTGTGTGTGTGTCTCTTTATAAAAGTCACTAATGGCTTTTCAATGGGTGAATAACTTCAGCTATAAATATTTCATTCATAAGATTACTCATGTGATACAGAAGACATGTGGTCTTGTAGCAAACTTTTAGCCAACTGAGTCCAGATCAAAGTAAATTAAAGAAACTGCTACCTATTTAGGAGTTTTAATGGTCAGCTAGGAATTTCCACTCTGTTACCACCTAACAAACTGAGATTTCACTTATGTGAAGTGACAGGAATTTCAGGGTTTTATCCCACTTAGGAGATCTTGCCAAGATTGTCTATGTCCCCTGGGCTCGAGACCAAAATACATAATTAATTCTTTTCCTAGGCCTGTGGGAGTACACACGACTTGTCATAAAACAAGCTACTGGCATTCTTACACTTTCAGGGTACTTGTTTCACTAGGAAGACTGAAGAAGAAGCTATTAGTAGAACTATGTTGATCTTCTTTCAGAGGAGGGAAAATTGAGCCTCAGGGTGAAAAGGAGAAGGTTCAGAAAGAATAGCTGATATGTCTGCGATAATTATGTTTACATGGGTAAGAGGTGTCAAAGTGACATTACTCATGAGACTGATTTGAACAGAATGTTGCAAATCACTTTCAAGATTTTTTTTGGACTTCCTCATATTTTTGGAGGTTGGAGTCAGGATTACTGGCTTTGGTAATTAATCCTTCCCAGCCTGCATTCTTTGCTACTGAGCATAGGAGTGATTCAGGGGCCCAACCTGCTAAATCAAGATAATGTTTGACCTCTGGAAGCAGAAGCCTCTTCCTCACTTAACCGGAGAAACTAAATCTAGGAGTACAATTGGCAAAATCAGCAGAGTTCATATTTGAAGAACTAGAGAGGGAATTTAGAATATCTATTTTGGGCATTTGAGGGTATTTTGAGAGTATAATATAAAAAGTTATAAACTTGGAGGAGAAAGTTGGGCTGTTGTGTGTGAGTACTGACACAAAGTCCTTAAAGAACTGTCATATTTTCTAGGAATCATTTATTTCAACATAAGCTTATTAAAGTCGATCTTTCATGGCTGCTGTGTTTGAATGTTTATTTGCCAAGTAAGGCATTATGTTAATATCACAGCTATGTATAAAGAAATTCCATTGGTTTGGTTTGGCCAGAGCCAAAATATTTGTGAGATTAATTTGCCCAAGAGACTATCATTATCATTGTGTTACTTTGCAATTAGTTATAAGGCCTTTAGACAACCCTTCTGCCTCTAGCAGGATGATGTAGATAAAAATGATGACTTTGGTTTTTGTCAACAAGTGGGAATAGGATAACTTTTCTTTTATGAAACCAATTAAGTTTTATAAAATGTAGAAGGCCAGAGTGGGCCCTTTTTCAAGAGTTAGGATCAAAGGGACAGTGTTCTTTAACACCATGGGCACTGACACTTTGCACAGAATAAAGTCATCCCTTGGTATCCATGGGGATTTAGTTCCAGGATTCTTGTGGATACCAAAATCTGTGGATGCTCAAGTCCCTGACATGAAATGGCATCATATTTGCTATAACCTATGCACATCCTCCTATATTCTTTCAGTCATCTCTAAGTTACTTATAATACCTAAATACAATGACATACTATGTAAATAGTATAGTTGTTATACTGCATTTAGGGAATAATGATAAGAAAAAAATCTGTACCTCTTCAGTAAAGATGCTTGCATCCTTTCATTTTTTTCAAATATTTTTGACTTGAGGTCAGTTGAATCTATGATGTGGAACTCACTGATACAGAGGGCCAACTGTATATACTTTAAAAAATATTCGAGTGAGTAAATGAAATTAAATGGTGATTTTCTGTTGTGTTAAAAAGTAATTTTGTTAGTCATTCAAACAGCGTAAACTTGAGATTTTTGAGACTAGAGAGAAGGAACATTTTGATCAAGTTTGTCATTGTATTTTTGTGACTCCACAAATATTAAAGCTTTCCTATTTATTTGAGTTTAAAGATCAGTCTGAGGTGGGATGAGCCCAGAGGGGAAGAAACATCTTCTGTTTTGAAAAACAAACAATGCATTAGCTATTTTCCCTGTTCACTGCCACCCCACATCTGGCCTCACAGGGCAATCTGAGCTTCCTCTTATCATGGCCCTTATCACTCTGCCCTGTAATCATTGGGTTACTTTGGCTGTACTTCTAGATTGTGCATGCCTTGAGAGCAAGGCTTAACTGTATCACCTGGCTCTGTATTCCCAGAGTCCACTTAGTGCCTGGAACATACTAGGAGCTCAAAAATAGAAGACTGTATGAAAGATTAAATAACAGAATTCTCGAAGTGCTTTTGAACTATGGCGTCCCTTCGGTCCTTGTGTGTGTGGTGTGTATCTCACCCAAGATGTTACCTCATCTAATTGTGTTTTTTCTTTATTATGTCTGGTTTAAATTTAATTTGACATTGACACACACATGCACACACACAAACTTGTACCACATATACACATACCACAGCAGGTACGCACAGCATATATACTGCCTGATTTTTAGGCTTTAAAAGCAAAACTCACAATTTCCAGACTCTTCCTTATCAGCAGTCAAACCTTTCTGGTATCAGACACCTGAACTCTCTGTCAGTGAAGTTGTAACCTGCAGGCCATCTTTAGACTTTTGTTTTTTAAGATTCAGCTTGAGAACATAAACATTGTTCCTTAGTCTCAAATTCTTCACTGAATTACACCTTCTTTCTATGGCAGTTTCATTCTTGGGCAACTCTCAGGAGCTTTGTCTTTAAAGCCTATGGGTTTTGGAGACTCAGAGAAGGTCAGTAACACTCAACGGTCAAGACCAAAACAGTTTTCCTTTAGGGAAACTTTAGTGTTTGCTCATTTTGATGTCAAAAGCCCTGGCTACAGAGGGGGAAAATGCAAGATGGTTTTTCTTCCTTCTGTGCTATAGCACAGCATGCACTTTACAGGGAGGATTTGCAAGTTGTTTAAGGTCTAAAATATTTGCTCCCTGCCTTTCTAGTACACGTGTTTGAGGCTGAGAATCTTATCAGCAGATAAGGGCAGAGAGGCTGCCATCCCACATTCCACAGACTCACTTCCAGATGGTTTGGAGACTAAGGGGTGAAAAACTCAAACTCTTCAATCAAGCCAAACAACCCACACCTTTATTGCCCCATTTGTTCAGCAGCCTGTCAGGGGGCTCCTAACATCTCAGAATCAGCCATGAGGGCAGCTGTTTAATTAACTCTTCAAGGCACATTTTGGTGGGGGCAATTCATTTTTTATGAAAAACAAATTGAGAGCTCCAAGGCTTTTTGTTCTTCCTCCCCCCCCACCCTCCCCGCTTTAGTGGTTACTGTTATCTGGAGCTTCTGGCTCAGTCCAAATAGCAACAATGATTTCTTTTTTTTAAAGCCATCTGATCTTTTGTTATTTTTTTTTCTTTTCTTTTTGTTTTCCTAAATCAGTCTGGCTATCTGACTTGAACATGGAGAGATTTCTTTTCCTTGGTGCCAGGAAATGATGGTATTTTTCTGGACTGTTTTGTGTTTTAGTTGTAAAAATACCAAAATTGCAATATTAACTGCTTATAACAGACACAAGCTTTCACATTGCTTTTTCCCAGGTTAAAATTTGGTTGTGAATCATTTTTGGTCTACTTAATTCTAATATAGATTTCTTTGAGAACTTACTGCAAGATACCTCTATGTGCAGTACTAAGGAACATACAGAAAGAGAAAAGAAGGTCCCTGGTCTTGAGAAATGTACGCTCCTACTTTCTGAGAAAATATATAACCACATTTTTATTATTTTAAATTTGTTTGAAAATATTTTTTATTTAAAGAAGAGTGCAAAGATACTACACAATGCTCCCATATACACTTCTCCTGGCTTCCTCTGATATTAACATATAATATAGTTATACAACCATGATATCAATACAAATAAATTAGTATCAACACAGTACAACTAACTAAACTATAAGCTTACAGACTTTAACCAGTGCTATGGTCTGAATGTTCATGTCCCTTCAAAATTCATGTTTTGAAACCCAACCCCTAAGGTGACAGTATTAAGAGGTGGGGGCTTTGGAGGTGACTAGGTCAGGATGGCTCTTCCCTCACAGATGGGATTAGTGTCATTCTGAAAGAAGCCTGAGGGAGCTGCCAACCCCTGATGTTCTTTTGCCATGTGAGGACACATAGAAGGTGCCATCTATGGGGTACAGCCCTCACAAGACACCAAATCTGCTGGCACCTTGATCTTGAACTTCCCAGCCTTCAGAACTGTAAGTGATCAATTTATGCTATTTATAAATCACCCAGTCTATGGCGTCTTGCTATAGCAGCCCAAACGGACTAAGACACCAAGTTTTTCCGCAAATATCCATTTTCTGTTCCAGGACCCAATCAGGATCCCACATTGCATTAAGGCATCATATCTCCTTCATCCCCTCCAATCTGTAACTGTTTCTTGCTCCCTTCTTGTCATCCGTGACCTTGGCCTGTTTAAAGGGGAGCAGTCAGGTGTTTTGTAGAATGCCTCTTTGTAGTTGTCCTTTCAGTGCCTATTGTGAATCAGCCTCTTTCAGAATGCTGTCTGAACACAAAGTGCAAAGACTTAGAATTATATGGATTTAGAGTAAAAGCTAAAGTATCACCTCATTTTTAAAAGGTAGAAAATGAGATCCAGAGAATTAAAAAAAAAAAAAAAAAGACTTGCCCAGAGTGGGACAGTTGACTTGAGCTAGAATTAGAATTCAGGCCTTCTGACTTTCAAGGCAGTGTTGGAATTATGTCCCTTTCCTATTTCTGGTCCATAGTAATTTAATTCTGAGGAGAGTCTGACCTTCAGAGTGTGCTCCTATGATGCCCAGAGACAGGCCCCTTGTGCTTCCTGGAGCCCACAGCACGGAGTCCCTGTTGCAAGCACTTATGGAACTGAATTAAATTCTACTTCAGAGAATCAAAATGCTGGGAATGGCTAAAGAGGGTTCTTTTAGATAAGAGCTAACACTGCTGAGAGAGTTAAGAACTGAAGGTCTGAGTGAGGTCAAGAAACATATGGCCATATTGCCTGGAGCAACCTAAAATGGCACTGGCAGGGCCATAGCTTTTGGGCAAGAGGCCTCGGACAGCTTCTTGAGCAGTGGGCAATGCTTCCCAGCCTGAGGCAAGTCTTTTTTCTCACCCACAGGGTGAGATCTACAGGGAAGGATCTGTATGTCCCCTGATCCTAGGGCACTTTCTGCCCATCTCAATCCTTAAGACCGGAGGACACAGAGTGTGGCACCCATGATTTCTTGCTGGTTCTGTCTACAATCAGTGTCCCTGACTTCACAGACCAGGCAGGACCTAGCAAAGCACTATCGACCTCAAACCTCAGGGTGTAGTATACAGAATTAATAATTAGGTCACACTGTGCAATCCTGAGCCATCTAAGGTCCTTGGGGAATGTGTAATTCTGAATCATAGAGTGTTCCAGAAAGCAAGCTCATGATTCATCATTCATGATTGGAAATTTACACTTGGTTCTCAATATTTTGTGTCATCCTCTTGGATAGAGAAAGATTTTCTCTTGGCATCCTCTGTTGGCATCTTCCCAACATGTGTCAGGTACAGAGTACATTTGCCTTGTGCTTTGGAGCAAATGCAGAGCACACAGGGGACTGGCCCAGGAATTAAGAGTCCTGGGTTCCAGCTCCAGCTGTCCCACTGATTATGGGACTTGAGAAAGGTAGCTTAACATCTCCATTTCATGGTATCTCACAGCTGTGCTCTTATTAAGTTCAACTAGATTGGTGGCATTTAAACTAGATACTAAGATGGAACTTTAGGGCCTGGTTGAGATTGGGTTATTGAAGAGGGTCAGTTGAATCTTTTGCTGCAGAACCTTTTTTAAAAATTAGAACAATGGTCCAAGTGATCTATTCCATTGTATTAAAAAGTGATAATTCTGCCATTAGTCAAATAAAACTGGTTTTGTATACCAGCTCAGGAACTTACTAGGTATATTCCTGAAGCAACTTGATTAACATTTTTGAATCTTAATTTCCTCATCTTTAGAGCAGAAATAATAGCTATAACTTCGTGTGAGGTGATGCATGAGAATTAAATGTGCTACGAAATAAAATATGCTTTTCACAGCACATGATACATTTTATTATCTATAAAGACCCTTCCACCTGTAATGTTCTGTGGTTGTAAGGGCTGGACCTGTGGAGGAGCTACTGGAGCATTGCTACTATGGTTGCCGTCTTCAGCACTGTGAAGGTAGTTTCTACATCTGAGCTGTCAGATGCTGGCAGGGCAGAGTGTCAGCTCATCCTGAGTAGCAGAAGAAAGTCAATGAAGGCAGTTCCCCCAAGGTCATCATAGCTTGAGAGTTTGGGAGGAGGCAACAACACATTTCCTTACTTCTTTCAAAGGTCTTCCTCCCCTCCTCCTTTTCTTACCCCAACTGCACAGGGCTATTCTAGGTCTATGTATTTCAGGAGCCCTAATGAGGTGCCTCTCATCATACCTTGCCATTTTCAGGCAGCTTTGACTAGCCGCCTGGATACCGGGACAGCCTAGCAATTTAAGAGCTATAGTGGATGAGGCTGGAAATAGAGAAGCCCGAGCTGCAGCAGGGTGAAGTAAGAGTGGGGAATTCTCTTCCCTCCTTCATAAAAGAGGAAGGCTAAAATGGCTCAAAAATCACACACATAACCATTCCCAGAAGACAAGAAACCAGATTTTCTGGCTCTTGCACCATACTGTGTCTGGAGAATACAGAAGAATAGATAATCTTTTAAGGAGCAAACAGCCATCTTCAGTGGACATGGAGTTAACAGTGGGCTTTCTTCATTTGCCAGAGCAGAGGGGCTGTGCAAGTTGCCTGGCCATGATTCATTTTGAGCTCAAGTTCTATTGACATAGGAATAAATTCTAAGAAAGTAAAGCTGTCAGCTGCACCAGCTTCTGAGGCAAAAATGCAGCCCTTTTAAGTGCCTTTAAATTCCAAATGACCAATCATGTTTTCTTTTCCTACAGCACACAACACTCTAGAATTTCAAAGCAGGTCTTCCTGAATACAGTTTTCCAAAGCTGGGACATTTTCCTTTTTTAACTGTGATGCTACGAAGTAATTCCGTGGTGCAATTATTCCTGGAACTTTACAGTCTTCCACCCAAAAGGTGCCTATTCTCTCACACTATAATGCATAATCTTTGTAAAAACATAAATGCAGATTCATGTCTATTTCAAAGAACCCCACATTTCCTCATATCTTGTGTCTGGGGAAAAAAGGAGAAAAATGCTGCATGTGTTAGGTTTTGCTCAAGTTTTCAAACAAAAAATGTTGTCTCAGCTTCAAACACAGGATAAAGGAAATGCTTGTCTCCAGGAGCTGACACTTCCCTGGTCATATTTCAGATACAATTAGCCTCCATTGATGGTGGTGGTTGATATATCAAATGAGCAGCTAATCTTATCTGCGGTTCACAAATGGCTCAGATGGTAGCTTGTGACTTTGATTACTAGAAGACTGGACCCCATCAGACGGCTTTGCTCCAAACAGTGGTCCTTTCAGCTTGCTGCTCCTGAAGATCAAAGCACTCTCCACTCTCCCTATCTGCAGGGAAGCTCATTAGAGGGAGGCTGTCAGGGTTATAATCATGCCACAGTTTTACTTCTGGGTTCTAACGCTTTCCCCTTCTTATCAGCCTGTGAGGTCCAAAGTGAGAAGGATAAAGGAGGTACTGATGACATCTGATACGTTTAATAAGCTTGCTGGTGAATGCCTGGGCCTCAGCTCTCTGCCACCACTGCCTCATTGACTACTGGAGCCTCCACCCCCTGCCACCACCTCACCTATAAGGATGGAATTTTACTCCTTGGCAGGGCTTGGGGAGGACTCCATTGTCCCCCTAACAGTCACTTTATTATGAAGAACTTCAGAAACACGAAATCAAATAAAATAGGAGTTTGTAAGTCTGAAAATCTGTCTTTAAATTTCAAAAGCTGTGTGTGTGTGTGTGTGTGTTTGTGAACTTGGACATTTTGCTGTGGACTTAGTTTCTTGTGTAAAATAGGAGAATTAATACTTTCCTTATTGGACTTAATATGAAGATTTCAACAGTCTCCTCTCCCAGAGAGCCTTCTATTATAACCCGAGTTATTCCCTTCCTCTAGCTCCTGGGTTAAATCTCCTTCCTCTCTGTTCTCATAGACCCTGGGATTACCATGAATATGACACTTACCATGTCTAAACTGATATTTTTTCTTGACTTGACTTTTGCTTCCAAATAGATAACAAACTCAAGACACAGGACCTACGCCTATTCAGCTTCAAACTGCCCACTGTCTCAGCAATGTTGTTGCTTCTCATTCTTCTGCATAAGGACAGCTGCTGGCAAGAGCTCCAGAGTCCCACAGTGTGAAAGGGGAAAGACTGTATCTAGATTAGCATTGAGTTCAGTGGTGGAGAGACCAAGTCTGCTCTGTGATACTCAGAGTCTCTCCCTGAAAATCCTGTGATCTGGGTTCTCATTTGCATTTCTTCTCACATTTCCAAAAGCATCTATATATATATATATATATATATATATGGAGAGAGAGAGAGAGAGAGAGAGCATATAAAGGACAAATAAAGACAAAACCTGAGCTAGCATCTTGGCAGCATGACAACAGTGCTTTTTAACATGAAAACAGCACATTGTAAAATGACCATGCTGTGAAATTTGAAATTGAAAGCCCCAGGTTTGAAGCCTAAAGACGTTAGACATGAATTAAAAACAAACAAAAAGACCTATTGACAATACACTTCAAACACACAGACACATACACATCCCCATATGAGATAGAGTTTACTTTGATAAACTGTTTAGAAATAAGAACACACTGAATGGCTCTGATGAGTTGTCTGACTTTGGACAAGTCACTTCTCCAATCTGGGCCTCAATTTCCTCATCTATAAACATGAAGATTGAATTATGTCAGTGATTATCAAAGTGGGAACTTGTTAGAAATGTAAATTATTGGGCCTCAGCACAGAACCACTGTATTAGGTCATCCACAGGGGTTCCCATGAAGTTCTGAAAGGCTCAATGTCCAGTACCAGCAGCTGTGAAAAATGAGAAGCAACAACATTGCTGAGACAGTGGACAGTTTGAAGCTGAATGGGCTTAGGTTTAATTTTCACTTCCTTACATCCCTGGTGGTATAAATTGCTTAATGGATTTAATCTCGATGATACTCACTTTGCTATTCTGTAAAGTGGGAAACAGATCTACTTCATAGGGTTATTGTAAGAACTAAAAGAAAAAATTGTTAAAGCATTTTGCAAGGTGTCCAGCTAGCATGAGGTCTCGTCCCTTTTATCCTCTCTTCATCCCTCCATGCGCCGCCCCCCACCACTATCACCTAATAACCAGTACAGGTAGAATGTGAATAAAAAGTGTAACCCAGTTGGAAAAATAAGCAAAATATACTGTCTTTTGCCATCCGCCCATGTTCTGTTGATTTACTTATTGCTTTTTCCTCACCATTAATTTAACTATGCATTTCTTTACTGAAATCCATTTCAAACTTTTAAAAAAGAAATTATTTGTAGCTAACATAGTGGCTTTTCCATTAAATATAATTTGGAAGACATTAGTACTAATTGTAAATTATAATGGCATTTATGTCTGACACATCCCGTGATGAAAGAACACCAGGCACTTCCCACAAATCAGTAACAAGCTGATCAGAATATGAATCTCCTTCCCTTAC
The DNA here is from genome assembly GCF_000001405.40 of Homo sapiens. Lineage (NCBI taxonomy): Eukaryota > Metazoa > Chordata > Mammalia > Primates > Hominidae > Homo > Homo sapiens. Next base: position 18,838,781 of record NC_000002.12, read on the forward strand.
CCTTTAGAAGAAAAAATAATTAATCACTGACTGCTAATATCTTACCCCTTTGCTAAGACAGACGATTATTTAAGCTTGAGCATAATATACTTATTTATCTGACAGAAATCATGACTCAATTTTCTTTGTTTTAAATTACAATGCAGTTAAAGCCAGAAAATTTTGAATAATTTGTTAATCAACCTTGTGACAAATAATACATTTCATCAATTCTATCTTAAACTGTGGACATATATCTGAAACATTTATTAATTGTCCAGTCTTAGTAAGTTACCTGTAAGAAACATCTTTAATGAAGTCTGTGTTAGACCCATTCTTGGAGTACAGTCATTTTAATCCTCAAACTCATGGCATTTGATTTTAGCTTCAGAGGTTCTAAGAAAGCAGACAAATGTTTGTTGAACCAGCCCAGAACTAGTTACCATGATCCCAAGTAAATTTCAGGTATTAATTAACTTTGTTGTGATCACTTTTTGCTCTCATAATGGAATAAGAGGAGCAGGATTCCCTTGCTGAATAAGAACATGTGCCTGAATTCTGGTTAGTTTGGCTTTTATAGATATACTCCAACAACAAGTGTCATCTCCATTGATTGCTATTTCATCATGATCATGCTCAGGTCTAGCTAACAGAGTGGGACAAGCTTTTCTCTTTTGTGGGGAGCAGCAGACCATTCCCAGCCCAAGGCACATGTGCGCGACCATAAGTGACATCACAGAGGAAAGTCTATTTCTATATGGAAGGACTTCTAACCATTGTCACACTTCTGTGCTCTCTACTCTTATTCCTTGGGAGGAGGAGGGACTTACCTTGCTGGTGAGTTGGGAAAAGAAATTCAACTCAGTGTTCTTCGTCTGCCTGTTTGGAAGCCAGCCTGCCTGCAGAGAGAGTACAATCTGGTTCACTCTCCACTGCTCAGACAGAAATCTTACAGCAAATGTTTCTCCCTTTCAGCAATTCGAAGAGTTGCCCAGCACCGCCAATTATTGGATAGTAAATTTATCTAAAAATTAGGTGAAATAATCTCTAATCCATTTAGTTGAAAAATCGAAAGTTATGCTCTCTAAGTAAGTATCATGTGAATTAACTCGGGAAAAAAAAATGGGCATTTAGTTGTTTATGGGGCCTCTGTCAATCCCCAGCAGAGCCTGCTTAGATTCCAGTTCTCCTGGGCCTAAGACAAACTGTTCTAGACCCATGTATTGGACAGTTAAGCCATGTCAGGGCTCAATGAATGTGATAGATAAAAGACTGAACACAAGTGTAAAGACTTCTTGTGATTCTCCATTTCCGGATGTTTATTTCTCTAGCAAGGCAAAAATGGAATGTGATTGAAATGACTCTGGTTTTCCTTGTCCTCTGTTCTTACCCCACCCCTTCCACTCCCATCTGTATATCGACAATGATGCGTATCTTCCCAGGCTTCCATTTTCTTTAGATCCTGGCTTCCCTCAGAGACTGGGGGAGTGTTTTAATGTAATGGGGACAAGAGAACAAGATAGCTGAGTCAGTTAACCATGTTTTTCTGAGACCAAGGAAAAGGTACTACATATGCCTCTGTGGAAACACTAACCACAATTGTCATTTGGGTGAGTGTTTTCTTTTTGTTGTTGTTGTTGTTTTTTGTTGTTGTTGTTTTTTGTTTTTTGCTTTCTCGCAATATGTAGGCCTTGATGTTTCTTCCGAGAATGCTTTATCTTCTTGAGAATGTAGCTGGACCAACAAGTGCAAGAGCAGCTTCTGAAACTTTGTTCTGAGATAGAAATGTCCCATGAAAAGCCCAACTAACTGATGCTGTAAGCATTTAGAGAGAGGAAGAAGACACCTGTGCCCCCTGCCCTCCACCCTGTAAGGAAGTTCTGGCTGCTCAATAACTTCAACTCAACTACTCTTAAGGCAGGAGGCTCCTTTCTGTTCTTTTGTGCTTTCTACTGCTCATAGAGGCAGCATGGATTAGTACCAAGAGCCCAGACACTGAACTTGGGGAATCCCTCTTTTATATTCTGGCTCTGTGTGTACATTGGGGTGAATTATTTATCCACCCTAACAGTCAGGTTTTTTATGTATAAAATTAGAGTAATGATCTTGAGCTTACAGGGTTGAGTCTGACAGTGGTTTCTATGACTGTGTTTCCATAAATGTTCATTTAGAGAGGTGAAATTTCTGTCATTTCTTTGGGATGTGGTTTATAGAGGGCTTCACTTGCTTGTATTTTCATGGTTAACAAGAACACTGGAAGGCATGTTCATAACTACCAAATGTTTGAGCTTTAAGCTGGGAGATGGAGGAAATGGTTATTCATTTAGTACTATTCATTTATTCATCAATTCATATATTCATTAATTCACTCATCAGATATATCTGAAATGCGTATTTTGTATCACTCTATATTAGCCAAGGTGGGGGAGATGCAGAGATAAATAAGACAAAATTCTTAGTAAGCTCCCAGGCTGGTGGAGGAAACTGACCAAGTTACATAAACTCATAGTAAAGTATAACACATTCTGTGCTGTCAGGAACATGGAAAATGGTCACTTAACATCTTGTCCTAGCGAATCAGTGAAGGCTTCTCAGAGGAATTGGTGTAGGAAGTAAGACTTGAAGAACTAACCTGAGCCAGTCAGATCCTGCTGTGGCCACTTAGGATGAAGCCTATTCCAAGCTGATAAGGAGGAGAGAGCAGTTGACCTGGAGTGCAGGTTTGGAGGGTGAGAGAAAAGTCAATGGAGTTCTGTCTGTTGGGTACTCGTAGGGCCTCATCTGGCATTATTTTTAGATTACTTCTTTAGGAGTCATCATGTGTCTTGACACAGCTGCCTCTTTGTTGCATTGCAGGTTTATATCAAATACTGTGTTTGGCAATTTTATGTAAGTTATTTTGATTTCTTATAACAACCCTGTAAGCTCAAGATCATTACTCAAATTTTATACATAAAAAACCTGACAGTTAGGGTGGATAAATAATTAACCCCAATGTACACGCAGAGCCAGAATATAAAAGAAGGATTCCCCAAGTTCAGGGTCTGGGCTCTTTGTACTAATCCATGCTGCCTCTATGAGCAGTAGAAAGCATAAAAGAACAGAGAATTTGTAAGTAAGCAAGCACTGCCTAATGGAACCTGGGTGGGCTGAGGTGTCTCTTACTGTCACACCAGGCGGCACTTGTTGCTGAGAGTCTCTTATCTTCAGAAGTCTGCTGGGCACCTGCTTGTCCTCAGATTCACCCCCCAGTCTCCCTGTAACACCACCCCAACTCATTTCATTTTCTACTGAGCTATTTGTTCCATCCTCACTGAAACATACTTCCAAAATTTGTGTCCCCAGAAAGCTACACTCCTAAGCCAAGAGAGACTTCTGCCTCTAATATGCAAAAGAGTTTCAGCCTCTCCCTCCCATGAAGTACTTTTTGAAATATTTGAGAAAGTTCAGCTTTTTCCTCCACTCTCACATCTTTCCTCATTTCTCCCCACAGTTCTTATCTATCAGAGATGATGCAGCAGGCTTGGCACAGTGAGGACTAGACATCAGGAAGGGATGCTTCCCTGAGAGAACTACAACTTCTCCTTGGTTCTTTCTTTGAGTTGCAAATGAAACAACGCTTAATTGGCCTCCTGATTCTCAAAGGCAGAATGGATATTGTTTGTGGCTCATTTTCTCCATGCAGTTTTAACCAAATGTGCCTTCAAAGATATCACATAACTGAAAGACAGAATTAAGCAATAATGGCAGAACCCTGGCAGCAAGTAGCCTCTGCTCATGTTTTCCATTGAAAAGCATATAGGATTACCTTATTGTTCCAGATATTAGCTTTCTGTACCCAGGACATACATATTTAAACAGCATAGCAAATGTGCTACATTACAAAGCACCTACAAGTCACCAAGGCCCAGAAAGCCTGTGTTATGCCAAGACCTAGAGACGTCCTTCCAAGATTCCTTCCCAGCTTAGAGGCCTTAGATTGTCTTCATGCTTCGGGTGGGCCAGTCAGCCTGAGTTTAATAGCAAACATTCTCAAATTTTTTCCTACCCTGTGTGTAACACAGCTTTCATTTAAATGTGGCATCTGCCAGCAAAGGAGCAAATTCCCAGCACCACCAGTGTGGCTTGCACGTGAAAACCCAGACAGGCTGCACTTAAGGTTTTCTCCAAACAACTGGGCTTAGGCTCCAGACTGTGCCCTTGCTTGCTCTGGAGAACGTTATCAACCCCGTGGTTCAGGGTTAAGGTTTGGGGTTGAGGTATTGTTAGTGTTTTCATCACTTGCGGAAATGTACAGTCTGACAATCCCCATGCCCGCAGATCAAAGGCAAAGGGAGGTGTTATCTGCTGCCAACTCTGCTGTGACTCTAAGCACATTTCTGATGCACTGACCTCCAGGTGAGCTGGGGTGGGAAAGAGTTCTCCAACAGATGGCTGTCTGAGTGGGGGGTTTATATGGGATAGTCTTCTAAGAACAAAGTCTCTGTCTCTTCCTTTTGGGTAGCACCACCATGCCTAACCTTAGAAATAGGGAGTGCTTTGGAAATGGTATTTGAATGGCATGGCGGGGAAGCATGCGGTTTGCAGAAAGACAAGTCTGGTGGAAGTGCGGTGTGCTGAATTACTATGCCGGGTCTGCCACTTGTCTCCCTTCTGACTTGAGGTGAGACCCAAGCTCCAGTGACACTGACTACCCCCAACCCACCTCTGCACGGAGTCTGGCCTCTCCCATTTCTGTTTTCCACGTGCTGCCTCACTGATGGGGATATTTGGCTTTGTCTTCCCTGCAGGATAAACTGAGCCTTTGTGCTCAAGGCTCAGATTACAGGGCACCTCCTTTCTGATGTGACGAGCATATTTTTAACCCCCTTAGGAGAACAATTTGCCCCTCTTCTATGCCTCCATCATTTTTTTGCTGGCGTCTTGACCACCAGGCACTGTTTATGTGCCTGTCACAGTCTAGATGTGTGGACCTCAGGGGTGACCTATTCACTCTGTGCCCCAGATGCCTATGATGGCACCTGGTGGGTAGAGCTGAATAGATGCTCGAGGAGTGAATGCATGCATGCAAGAACAGGCAGCGGTGGAATAGAAAGGGGAGGAAGGGTTATCTGCATCCCCAGAGGGAAAGTATGTACTTTCGATGCAGAGTGCTTCTACAGGAGGAAATACCTCAGGTTCTCTGGTTGTTCCTGTCCTTTCCCACAGATACAGTTGCTGGAGGGGGCAACCTGTTCTCTCCGGTTATGAGCTTCCCTTCCTCTGAGTTTCATATGCTCTCCACTCAGTGCTTGTGGTTAGAGCTCTGTTCACCTCAACCTTTGTTAAAGCATGAAATTTTCTTCTATGAAATACTCTGTTCCCCCTCAAGTCCTGATGCCTGGCAACTTCTGATGGTCTCTAAGAGGCAACCTCTTTCCTCTTTGTCCTAGATGCAATTATTGAACCACCCGGAATCCATGCAGCTATACCTATCCTTCCCTCTGGATCTTGGCCATGTGTTCTTTCTAGACTAAAGATCTGGGCAAGAGCTTGAGCTGGTTCCACAGTTACGGTGTCAATTTCGCCACTTCTGGTCTCCACTATAGTTTGAGGAGTGTTGTGCACGACACCAGCTGACAGAGAGAGGTTGACTGGACCCCGGGGTCTCTAGTCCAAGGAAGCCATGAGTTAATGGATTTTTACCAGTGAGAGACAGGACAGAAAAAAGCCAGTGGAAAAATTATTCTTCCTTCCCTTATCCTGCTTATTATTCTGAGAACAGGTAGTTAATATTTTCTCTCAAGATGATATGAGAAAAAGAACAATCATTCCTATTTATCACAAAACTTGCCACATTGGTAGTGAGCCCTCTCATCTTTGTATTTGTTCTCTCCTGACTTCTCCTCTGTCCTGGCTCTCTGGGGTCACAATGGCCTCAGTCTCTGTTTCTGGGCAAACTGAGCTGATACCTCCCTTGCCAACTCAGATTAGATTGATCCCCCTTGTGTTCTTTCACTTTCCATACACTATTGCAATTATGTATTTATGTGCCTCTGTCTCCCTCTGGATTACATATCTCTTGAAGTCAGAGACCACATTTTACTAAGTTTTAAATCTCTGGCACCTAGCACAGTGCCTGGCATAAATTAGAACTCTGAAAATGGTAAATATTTGCCAGATGAATGATTATAAAAATTAAAAAGAGCTAGATTTCCTCTGGTCAGGGAGAGATTCCAACAGACCTGAAACCTATTTTAAATTGTTCTCCATTTCAATGTGTGGTCTCTTTTGGCTTTACCTAAATTGAGTCAGGAATGATGCTAGCAATTGTATCACACTGTAAGATTATAAATACTATCCAGTAACTATAATAATGATTACTACAATATGCTGGGCACTGGTACGTTACCATGCTACATTAGATATTTCACATATATAATCTCATTATTGCAGCAAATATATGGGTTGTTATTATATACTTGGGACTGCTTATAAATGTAGCTGGACAACTGGCCTTTACTGAAGACATTCTTGAGAGTACCTTAAAAGTTGTTTTGCTTATAATTTTTAAAAGGAGGTTTTCTTTAGTGGTTAACACTTCATCTGCCAATCAGTTTGTAAATGCCCAATGGCAGAACCACCTTAAAAAAGAAAACAATCACTTCCGCCTTAATTAACATAAATGGGACTTTACACTCTAACATTCTCCCTCCACTTTCTGCCCATATGAATGCATGAGTTACAGTTTGTCATGAGCACAGAACCTCAGAGCGAGGCACCTCAGTCACCACACATCTTCCTGGTTCCACTGAGACTGGTAATATAGAACAGAGGGATTTATAACCAGGGAATTGTGGACAATTATGAAAATCAACGTTGGGTTTACCCAGTTCTAAAATCCCTCAGAAATCATGTAAATACTTTTCATGTGCATCTTAAAGGTGCAATTTTCTACAGTGAGGCTTACGTTGAATTCTCAAACATGTTAAGAATCACTGATTCTAAGTGAACCTCCAGCTTAGGGTAGGCTATGAAGAATGGAGACAGCTCTCTGCCTTGGAGTTTTCTGCTGTGCAGTTGAGTTTTGAATGTCCAGGGACTGTAGGAATAAACTTTCCTGATCACTGTCACTTTAGATACTTGAGTTGAAGCCGGGGCACAAAGGAGCTCATGGTATGTGCTTTTTTCCCTGAAAAGCTGTAAGAATCTATAGGACCCAGTCTTTACTCTCTGCATGTACTGCCCCTATTGTGGCTTTGTTGTCAGGATTTCATATTATGATGCAATCCAGTACAGCTTGTCCAAAACAATATTAGATTTATTCCATTTGTTAAAAGGAAGATATCACTAGTATGTGGTCCTTTTGGAAGAATCTCAACACTTTGTTCTAGGCATGGGTTCAATCACCTGTTGCTAAGATACTGCAAAAAAATATTCATTTTTAAATGTTTCCTTTTAATTAAATAAGCTGTTGCTTTGAAATATCAGTGAAAAGGTTGAATAGGTCTTTGAATCTTAGTTTTTTTTTCAACTGGCAGAGATATTTCTGAACATTTTAAATGGAGCAGCTGCTGTCCCAGTGGAACTTCTTGATGAGTTTAAAAGTGCACAAAATGGTGATATATGGTATATATATAACTGGATTGATAAAAATAACTGAGAGACTCAGTTCGATCATTACATGTTGAAAATACAAGTCACAGTCATTGATTCTGCATCAAAAACATGAGGAAAATTTAGATACAGTCCCATAATAACAATTAGTAACCCTGGAAGCCAGAATCAAACTGTTTGGATTTCAGAATGGTAATACAAAGCATCTACATCCAGAAGGGTCTAAGCCAGCACTTTGTAATCAAATGCATTAATATCTCTGTGACAGAACATTTTAGTCTTTAATATCGCACATTAATTCAGGTTTAACTCTGTGGACGAAACAGTTTGGTCAAACATAAGAAAACACTTAAGTTTTAAGATCATTTTAAATTTTTTTTGTATTGCAAATAAGTGATTTGGTGCCATAAAAATGAAGGAAAATCTAACAGTGCACATAATTTAGAATAATTTCAGGATGAATTTAGACTCCAAATGGCCTGGGCAGTAGCAAGTTTGGGTGCCTGGAGTCCCAGTGTTAGGAACTTTTAGGGAACAGATTGACCATTCACCCAAAGTCCATACTAGGCATGGTCAGCAGCGACCAGCAGGTAGGGACAGAGGTCCCAGACTATGAGTAGCCCTCGAAACGATGGATAAGAATTCAGAGACATTGAGACAGTTCTAGATCTCTCCCAAATCCAAACATTTATCTTACTCTGCACTGCTATTGCACTAGTCCAGGCCAGATCTTTAAAAGCCTACAACATTGTCTAGGCTGGTCTCTGTACTTCATTCCAGTCTTTTTAAACTCAATTAGTCTTTGATATATTCCTCCATTGTGGCCACTCTAGAGTGCAAATCTAATCCTCTCCCCTGATGAAACATTTCAATGGTTTCTCATGATCTGTAAGGTAAGTCACTAGACAAAAGGGCCCTGTCATGTCCCAATCTTGTCTCTAACCCCCTACCTCTCATGTTAGGTAGCACCAGCACAGTTCCTTCTGGACCGTGCTGATCAGTGTCTCCGTCTTCGGATGCTTCCTCACCACTTGCTTCTCCATGTGGCCAGTTCCCACCTGCTCTGCAGTACTTGACATCACTTTACTTCTGTTCCAGACCCCAGGCTAAAACATTAGAATTGCCTATTCGTAGACTTTCCTCCATCATCTGACTGTAAGCTTCTTGAGATCACAAATCTATTTCTCATCTATCATATTACCTCTCAGTGTTTAGCACAGTGCTTGGAACATAGTAAAAATTTATTGTTCAGTTCAGTAAAAATTTATTGAACTGCTGGTGGGATGTTGAGGCAGACAAAATGACGGAATCCAGGTAGTCAGAGAACACAAAGAAACATCACTTGGGAGCAAAACCATGAAAGATTCTCAATCCTGGGAGCGGCTATAGTCACAGACTCCCAGATGATTTGAACAAGGATGAGCATCCTATCTTGGAAGAGGTAGAAGGCTTATGACATAGTGAATGTACTACTCTGACACCAATAATATGGCCTGTCATTTCCTTTGCCCCTAAGGAAAGGGAAGCAGAGTGGGTTTAACCAAATGAAAGGGACTTACTTATGGTGAGTTTGGGTGGGTGGTGTGATAACTTTAGGAGAAGATTTTGGCAATAGACCCCCGTGTATCTATAAGAAAAAATTGTGTGGTGACTGGGGAAGATATGGTAAATTGACTTGTCATGATCCCTAAACTATGATCACTTTTGGTTAGCATTTCTTGCTACACTCACCCCCTTGTAGAGTAAGCTGGACTATCTCACATTGCAGTCATACCGTCATAATAGCTTAGGGATTTTAAGCAGAATGCACAGAAGTCCACTGTGATGGTATAGATGAAGCGCTTGCCCTGGGAACAAAAATCCATCCAAATCCTGGGTCTCAGATTTACTGTGCCCTTAGGAAATTAATTATCCATTCTATGCCTTCAGTTCTTCTCCTAAAGAGATATGATTACACTAACATTAAAAGGATGTGTTATTAAATAAAAAACTTGTGTGAAAGCATTTGTCAAGTAATAGACACTCAAATCTATGTGAATACCTTAGAACATTTTTGTTATCTGGATAATTGATATAATAAGAGATTAAAAAAATCATTCTATTATTAGCTAGATTTTTGATGTTATGGTAAGAAAATATGTTAGTTTAATCATTTCCAGAATCACTAGGTAAAGAATGACTTTATCCATCTGGAATGTAGCCCTAAAAATTTCTAAAAACTCTAACTTGATATATATTTGTTAATAAACACCTTCATGCTATTATTGTTTTATTTATTTTTTACAAAGTACAATGCATTTAGACCCTCTGTGACCAGGAATAATGTGAAATTAAATTCATTCAAAGTAACTTAACACAATTAATTATCAGAATAAAACCATCTAAATATAAGGCCTGCAAGAATTTACAGACAGTGAGTGAGCCAGGGACTTAAGGGATAATCATTAAATGGTAAGCACAGCATTGAGATTACAATTTAACAAGAAAATGAGGATGGGAAAGGTGGGGTAGAAAAGAGCAAATTCTCATCTACCATGAAAGGAGGATGTGGGGATAACATCTAAGACAGACAAGTCAAGAGACCAATCATACATATGTTGTTTAAAAATGTGAGATAAATGCCTGAAGAAATATTTCCAAGGTTTGAAAGTAGTTATACCTAGGAGAGAGTGGACTATGAACTGAGGAAGGGTATATAGAGAACTGTAAATTATTACATACATACATACATACATACATATGTCCATGTGTATATAATCCCTGTATATACAGTATATATAGTCACCATATATACTGTATGTAATCACTGTATATGTATATAAAACTGTATATACACACCCATATTTACATATATCTATATTTACCCATATAGATATATATACATAATATGCATTTTATACATGTTGACATTATATAATATTTAAAATCACAGGATACTTTTTAAAAATTAATTTTTGTAATCCAAGTCTGTATGTTACGAGCAAGAGAAAATATTTAGGTATACATAAACATACAGAGCGCAGTGCCTTTGATAACAAGGTTTCTGTTTAATACTATTGGATTTCTTGTCTGCCCCAGACATGTTCTATTGGCTCTTTCATTTGATTCTCTAATCATATGAAGTTGGTAATATTATCTCCATCTTAAACAGGAGAAAACCCTCCCATTAAGTAATGGAGTATGAATTTAACTGAGGTCTGCTTGAAGACTCAGCCTATGCTCTTTGAAGGTCAGTTGAATAGAGCTAAGAGAAACAGGCCAAGATAGCAATACATTCTTTAGTAAATGAGGCAGTGATCATATGACCAAACTCAAAATATGCTTGAAATCCCAGCATATGGTTGCACATTGTGGCTTCAAACTCCATGCTCTTAATTCCTAAACTATCCTTTCTGTCTTCTGAAAGGACGTGTAGGACCTGATACTCCTAGTCATCTTGAAAATGTTGTCCTTGGTATTACATGTATCATAGAATTGACCATATAAGCATTTTTTGTAAGTATTATTGCTCTTAGAAATCTGTTAAGTAATTTCATATTTTTTAGCCATTACCTTACTTATGAATGTAAAGCTTTCAATCTTACATCTGTTTTTACTTTGCAATCAGGAACTGTGACCGTGTCATTTGTAAAGCAGAAGTAAAAGATGTTCTATTGAAGAAAGAGGCTCTGGTTTCTTTATCTAGTATCAACATAAAACCAAGGAGGGTATCTATGTGACTGATCAGGTGTACTGACCACAGAATCTGTGTCAGAGTCATTTGTTGATTCATTCATGAAGTGCTGTAGTTTTTGGATACCTAGTTTGAGCCTGGCACTCATCCAATTATGGGAAAGTCATTAAAGAATAAAATAAAGTCCCTGCCCTCTTGGAGCTTACAAGATAAATGATTTGGGTGGTCTAGTTCTTCTTTACAAACGTCTTTCACCCTTTTACAGAAGGCAGTTAAGTTGGTAGGGGAATGAGGCAGGATAATTAGAAATACCTGCTGGGGCCCAAAGTGGGGCCTGTGGTAGCAGATTCCATACATATTCAGGAAGCTCACAGCTCAGTCTTTGGTAAAGTCACCTCTGGTGCCTAAAGACCTGAATTTCTAAGCAGGATGAGTGCATCTTCAATGAGTACTTTAACTGGTTATTATTCCCCAGTGCCTTTTTATTTGAAAGCCAGTGTCACATAGTGATATGTTTGGGGGCCAATATTCTTGGCTTTGAAATCCATCTATCTAGAGGTCCGGAGGCAGATTGTCTCAATTTTGTAATCTTAAAATGAAGGTAAAAATATATAACTTTCACAGTTAGAGGGGAGATATAATATACATGAAAAACAGAAATCAGTGTCTGGCAGACAATAAGTGTGACATAAATGGTAGATAATATGCTTATGGTTGCTATCACAACTTGTCTCCAAACAAGACCAGTAAAAACATGGTCTTTGGTATTATGTGTATCATGGAATTGGCCATATAAGGGCTTTGGATAATTATGGTTGCTCTTAGCCACCTTTTAAGTCATTTTCTCATATGTAGCTATTACCTTACTTAGAAATTTAAAGCTTTTGCTTCTCCCTCTGTCATCACTAACTAATTTCTTAGTCTGAGGGCTTGACACAAAATGAAAACGCTGCCATGCCTATTCTAGTCTTCATTTCTGCAGACGAAACATGTTCAAATCATCTGAATTTTTTAACGAAATAAAATAATAGTTATGTATATGGTAGAGTTAGTGAGTTTTAAAGCTTTACAGGACTTTAAACTCAAAACCATGTGTGTAGTAAGTAGCTGAAGCTGGTGAAGAAAAAAGATCCCCAGATTCCTACCCAGAGTTAAGTAGCAAAATGCACATGATAGTATCAAGGGGAAAATAAAAATATAAAAGCATATTTGGGTTGGATAATCAAGAATTGCTCTATCTAGTGGGTGCAACATTGTAAGCTTTGACTTGGGGGCCGATTTTGTTTTACCATTGTCAGATTCCGTGAAGTTCATGTTAGAGCAAGACACTGACATATGTCAAATGGGGACTTCCAAGCATGGCCTTGCCACCAAAGGCAAACTTCTTAAAGATGTTTCAACTACACTCCTGCATCCGTCCCTGCCAATTACCAGAAGGCTGGTGCAGACTTCACTGGAGCTCAACTCAAAGTGCCATTTCCTCAGAACATGGTTAGTCTTACACCAATGGAAGCCCATGGGACAAAACTCGATGGCTAGAGAGAAATATGAGGTTCAGGATCCTTCAACACAGCTTTTTGTATTCTCTACATTTTTAAATGCAGTTACCATTTTTCATTCTTGATGAGCTTAGTGGGAAATATTGAGTGCCGTGGTTCTCCTTGTCTGCTGGCCATATACTTTTCTGCACACTGGAGCCCTAGGGTACTGGGATGTGGGGACTATGGTGGCTCACTGCCTCGATATACAGGTACGACTTCTCAATTGGTTCTGAGGAGAAGGCAGGCAAAGCAAAACGTTAACGCTTTTGGAGCCTGGACAGGAAATCTTAGTGATCTGGGTTCCTTGCCTTTCCTTTTTCTAATCTGAAATACGCATAGATGATAAATTTATAATGAAGGGAGAACGGTCCTAGGCAGTGTCAAGGGATATAAAGAAGCATGATTTCTCCTTCATTTTCAGAATGCACTTGAGGCCTATACACATAAGTATTGATATAATTGACAACTAAGGTGGTAAATAATTCTTGAATATGATGCTGAACAAGTCTCCTCTTCCCAAATCACCTCAGGCAGTATAATTTAGGCACATGGTATGAGTCAGGAATGTTTTATCCTGCAAGTAACAGAGTCTGTGAGCAGCAGGGGTTTACACCAAAAGGGGTTTATTTTTCTAATAAATCAAGAAGCCTGAGGTGGGTAACCACTGGCTTTAGTTCAGTGCTCTAATCTTGCAAGTGTCAACTTCTTTATGATTTTCCTGTCCCACAAAGACAAGGGTTAGGGTCTTGATTTTAAAAGAAATCAAGAAAGAGTGTGCATGATTTTGAGAAGACCCTCCTCTGCTGGGATGATGCTGGACAAACAGCCAATTGAGGTATGGCAAAATTAATCGCCCTTGGAGGGACCTCCTATGCCATCTGCTGATGGATGTTGAATTTCAGACAACATGCTCCAACTCTCAGGTCTCCATCAGGGCTGCTGCACCCACAAACATCACATTTGTGCTTCAGGCTGGAAGAGGATGAAAGAGCAAAGGACCTGTGCCAACCAAGTCTTTCAAAATGACTGACTTTCCCTTTAGGCTCACTGGCTGAATGTGAATTGTATAAAAAGGCTTTGAAGGAAGGCTGGAAAACAAGGAAACAGGATTATCATAATTGGTCAAAATTGATTATAACCCATCGCTTAAGGCTGGACACATCACTGCTCTGAAAAAATTTGGAGATCTGTTGTTAAAGAATAAGGGGGAGATGGGTGTTGTGCACTCAATGCCAATGGATGTCACATTTTTTGTGCATTCTTCTAGGTCATTTGTCTTAAGTAGTGGAATAGATACTTCATAAGATTATAATCAATTGCTTATGTATTTTTCTTTTCTAATAAACGAATAGATCCTGGAGGGCAGGAACTGTGTCTTATTTTCCTTTCTATCATAGAATTTTCCACAGGGCCTAGAACATAAATGTTGCCTAATGTTCTATTGGATTGCATTAAATTAAGTACCTTGAGCAGAACATGTTGATTCTATAATTTTAGAATTACAGTACTAGAGTATCACAGTTTAGAGGAGTGAGTGGCTACATTTGATTTGTAGTATTTAAAAGGCTTCCCTGAAGATGTAGGATTTAAAGTGCATCTTGAGGAATGGATAGGGTCCAAGTCTGATTTAGTTTCATAACAACCATAGCACCTAGCCTAGAACAATATTTTTCAATAATGAGCCTACAGTAATATTTGCTGGATTGAATCTAATTTGAGTAGAAGGGGAACCCAGGAGGGAACCTTTACAAGGAAAAGTTCATAGGTAGAGAATGCAAACAATCCCACTGCCTTTCCCCTTACCTCCTCACCTACAATTCTGAGGTCATAAGTGTTATCTGATGTTCAAACCCCAGGTACTCCCAGGCTTTGGGTCTAAGTGGAACATATTTGTTTTCCACCTGCATACACTCAAATATCTGGTGTTCATTGAATACTAATTTGAAGCATACAAATGACAGATTTGGAAAATATAAGAGCACCTACTTTTGGTCAAACAGAACTGAGCTAGAGTCCTTTGCTGAGAATGCCTTCTATCCAGAGGTTGAATGGATCTCTGCCTTTTAAGTCCTTGAGAAGATCCTCCACTCCCAGTGTGTGATGCCATTCTGGCTTCTGCCTTATTCACAGAGGTCATGTCAGCAGAGTTAAATTCACCATGGCATTCACAAAGATTCAGTTGGATCTATAGACCAATAATAGTTAATTATTGATTTGGAACCAAATGACAAAGAAAGCAAAGAAACTCTTAGGTGGTTAGTTTGCTTTATGTGAACATAAGTCCATAATCATCAAGGTTTTTTGACATTTAATAAGCAAAACTAAAACAAAAGAATTTATTTTTGAAATTTTTCTACTTCCAAAAACTTTCAATAACACTGAAATTCCTGACACATTTTTATCACAGTGATTCTCCTTTTGCTAGAACAGGGGGGATAGCATGGATAGAGAATTAAAGATGATCAAAGTAGTAGAAAGGCTGAGGCTAACACAGAAGAATATGGGCAACCCTCACCTCTAGCCAAAGAATCTTGGTCATGTCTAAGCAAGCTGTCTTTGTTGTACTTGCCAGTTAGGCCTCAGTAACTCTCAAGTGAGGCCCTGCTGTCATGCTAGAGCTGATGGTTTGGAAATCTATTTCTATAAAATATTACTACTCTGTTTATTCAACACGGTGTTCTAAAAACACATTTCAGTTCACGACCAGCCTGGCCAACATAGTGAAACCCTATCTCTACTAAAAAAATGCAAAACTTAGCCAGGCATGGTGGCCCATGCCTGTAATCCCAGCTAGTCGGGAGGCTGAGGCAGGAGAATAGCTTGAACCCGGGAGGCAGAGATTACAGTGAGCTGAAATCACACCATTGCACTCCAGCCTGGTGGCAGAGCGAGACTCCATCTCACAAATATGTATATATATGTATATATACAAATATGTATATATATGTATATATACAAATATGTATATATATGTATATATACAAATATGTATATATATACACATTTTATGTACCAAGCACTGCATTCCATATGAACGTTTGTTTGCTTTTGAAGCAAAGAGCTCTTAATAATTATTACATAAATGTGGCCTGGCAAAGTAAATGTCACTTCCTATCATAGTATATTATGCAATAGAGAGGACTGTATGAATTAAAGATTGCATTTGACTGTTGATGAGATTGATGTGAAATAACAGTGTTTTAAGCCTGTTAGGAGATTTCTTTTCTCTTGAGTAAAAGAAATCAGGAAGGAGACAGTCCAGGGAGAGTGTGGTTGATGCATGCTACCATCAAAGTTCTAGGCCTCTTTCATGTTTCTGCTGCACTATCCTTAAACATGATATCCATCCTCAAGATCACAAGGTGCCAGCTTGGAAGTCTTGCTGTTACATCCATGTTATAGGAAGAAAAAAAGGAAGAGCAAGTGAACAAACAACACACCTCCCAACTGAGTCAGGGCCCTTACAGATTGCAGAGCATTTCTGCAATCTCTACCCAGAAACTTCTCCCCACATCTCATTGGCTATTCCTAGATGCAAGAAAGCCTGAGAAATGTTCCATAGCTGGTTACATTGCTATACACAATAATACAGAACTTTTGCTACTAAGAATGAAGAGGGAAAATGAACATTGAGCATGCAATTAGCAGTCTCTGCCACTAGGCTGTATGGGATAGAAGGGAAAACATAGACTTCACTGTCCCAAAGATGCCCACATTTACCAAACTAGTTTGTGGAATTACTTGACCAATCTTGGGTGATTCATTTCACAGTTCTTCTAGGTTTTCTCACCTATAAAATTGGAGCTTTTGGTGAAAATCTTGCAGGATTGTTTTTAAGATTAAATAAATTATTTCATAATTCAATGCAGTGTTTGGTGGCAACAGCTGTTGTTGATGTGTGTGTGTGTGTGTGTGTGTGTTTTATTGACTTCCTAATAAAATACTATGAAAACATGTACAATGATAAAAATTAAAGATTTTGACAAAAATGTCAAAATTTGAAAGGAATCTCCACCCACAGTAAGGCATAAAGAGTATTAAGAAAAGGAAAAAAACCTTCGTCAGGGTAGTGAAAAAAAGACTACATGCAAAAAGACAAGATACTTACTCCCCATTTCCTACTCTGGCACACTCAAGCTCTGTGTGAAACAGAAAATGAACAGATGTCACTTCCCCATTCAGAGGCTGACATCTGAAGCCATCTGGGGATGTTCTTTGTGTACTTCTACCAGTTATCATATAGCTCACCTCTGTTTGTCTTTGTACAAATGGTACCTTCTTAGTACGTTGCACCCAAGATGCCCTCACCATAATACTCCCTATAGCTTTGCCTTGTCTTATTTTTATCCTCAGCACTCATTATCATTGAATGTGCTATCTGTTTCAGTTATTTATTTATCTAGATTCTGTTTTCTTCTAGAACATAAAGCACTTTCACAAGAGATTTTTTGTTTTGTTCTGTTTTAGTCAGTATTGTATAACCAGAGCCTAGGAGAGAATATAGTAGGTACTCAATAGGCAGGTAAATTGAAGTATTTAACTTCTCATGCACTCATTTTACCTCTATTCTGCTTTACTTTTTCTCCCCATACCACTTACCACTGTGTATACACACACACACACACACACACACACACACACACACACCATATATATATATAGTGTATATCTACATATATGTATTTAACTTAGCTTTGTTGCCTCTTTCCTTTACTTTTTCAGTATTTATTTTAGGTTCAGGAGTATATGTGCAGATTTGTTATGTGGGTAGATTGTGTGTTGCTGAGGTTTAGTGTACAAATGATTTCATCACCTAGGTGCTGAGCAAGGTAACTAATAGCTAGTTTTTCAGCACTCACTCTCCTCTTATCCTCCCCCGTCAAGTAGTCTCCTGCATCTTCTGTTCCCCTCTTTGCCTCCATGTGTACGCAGTGTTTAGCTCTCACTTATAAGTGAGAACATGAAGTATTTGGTTTTCTGCTTCTGTGTTAATGGGCTTAGTATAATGGCCCCAGCTGCATTCATGTTGCTTCAAAGGACATAATCTCATTATTTTTATGGCTGCATAGTATTCCATGGTGTATATGTACCACATTTTCTTCATCTACCACTGATGTACATCCAGTCCACCACTGATGGACATCTAGGTTGATTCCATGTCTTTGCTATTGTGAATAGTGCTGCAGTGAACATAGGAGTACATGTGACTTTTTGGTGGAATGATTTATATTCCTCTGGGTGTGTACCCAGCAATGGGATTGCTAGATCAAATTGTGGTTCTGTTTTAAGTTCTTTGAGAAATATCTAAACTACTTTCTGCAGTGGCTGAACTAATTTACATTCCCACCAGCAGTGTATGAGCATTCTCTTTTCTCCACAACCTCATCAACATCTGTTATTAATAATAGCCATTCTGACTGGTGTGAGATGGTATTTTATTATGGTTTTGATTTGCATTTCTCTAATGATTAGTGATGTTGAGCATTTTTTTATATGCTTGTTGGCTACATGTATGTCTTCTTTGGAGAAGTGTCTGTTCATGTCTTTGCCCATTTTTTAATGGAGTTGTTTGTTTTTGCTTGTTGATTTAAGTTCCTTGCAGATTCTGGATATTAGACCTTTGTTGGATGCATAGTTTGAAAGTATTTTCTCTCATTCTGTAGGCTGTCTATTTACTCTGTTAATAGTTTATTTTGGTATGCAGAAGCTCTTTAGTTTAATTAGGTCCTACTTGTCTATTTTGGGGGTATTTTTGCAGTTGCTTTGGGAGATTTTGTCCTAAAATTGTTGCCAAGGCTTATGTTGAGAAAGGTATTTCCTAGGTTTTCCTCTTAACTGTAAACTCCTAGATTTTATATATATATACACACACACAGTTTTAGGTCTTAAATTTAAGTCTTTAATCTCTCTTGAGTTGATTTTTGTATATGGTGAATAGTTGGGGTCCAGTTTCAATCTTCTGCATATAGATAGCCAGTTACCCCAGAAACATTTACTGAATTGTGAATTCTTTCCTTATTGCTTGTTATTATCAACTTTTTCAAAGATTAGATAGTTGTAGATGTACGGCTTTACCTCGGGGTTCTCTAACCTGTTACACTGGTCTATGTGTCTATTTTTGTACCATTACATGCCGTTTTCGTTACTATAACCATTTACTGTGGTTTGAAGTTCAGTAGTGTGATGCCTCCAGTTTTGTTCTTTTAGTTTAGGATCACCTTGGCTATTCCAGTTCTTATTTGTTTCAATATGAATTTTAGATTTTTTAAAAGATCTGTAAAAAGTGACATTGGTAGTTTTGTAGGAATAGCATTGAATCTATAAATTTCTTTGGGGAGTATGGCCATTTTACAATATTTATTCCTCCTATTTATGAACATGGAATGGTTTTCCCTTTGTTGGTGTCATCTCTGATTTCCTTCAGCAGTATTTTGTAATTCTTGTTGTTGAGATATTCTACCTCCCTGACTTGCTGTATTCCCCTAGGTATTTTATTCTTTTTTGTGGTTATTGTGAATGAGATTGCATTCTTGATTTGGCTCTCGTTGTGGATGTTATTGGTGTATAGCAATGCTACGGATTTTTGTACATTTATTTTACATTTTGAAACTTTACTGGAGTTTATCCATTCTAGGCACATTTGGGGAGAGACTATGGGGTTTTCTAGATATAGAATCATATTATCTGTGAAGAGAGATGGTTTGATTTCCTCTTCCTCTCTTTTGATGCCTTTTATTTCATTCTCTTGTCTGATTGCTGAGGGTTATTTTTATTTCTGTGGGATCAGTGGTAATGCCACTTTGGTCATTTCTGATGGTATTTGTTTAGATCCTGTCTCTTTTTTCTTTATTAATCTAGCTAGCAGTCTATGAATCTTGCTTATTCTTTCTAATAACCAGCTTTTTGTTTTGTTAATCTTTTGTATGGATTTTTGCATCTGAATTTCATTCAGTTCAGCTCTAATTTTGATTATTTCTTTGCTTCTGCTACCATGGAGTTGGACTGCATTTGTTTTTCTCGTTCCTCTAGGTGTGATGTTAGGTTGTTAGTTTGAGATCTTTCTAATTTCTTGATGTAGGCATTTAGCATTAT
Organism: Homo sapiens; assembly: GCF_000001405.40. Lineage (NCBI taxonomy): Eukaryota > Metazoa > Chordata > Mammalia > Primates > Hominidae > Homo > Homo sapiens. The sequence goes on from NC_000002.12 coordinate 18,858,662, forward strand.
AAACTTTCCTCCTAATGCTGCTTCAGCTGTGTCTCAGAGATTCTGCTATGTTTTTTCTTTGTTCTCATTAGTTTCAAGGAATTTCTTGATTTCTATTTTCATTTCATTCTTAATGCAAAAGTCATTCAGGAGTAGGTTGTTTAATTTCTATGTAATTTTATGGTTTTGAGAGATCTTCTTGGTATTGTTTTCTATTTATATTGTGCTGTGGTCCAACTGTATGGTTGGTATGATTTCAGCTTTTTGAATTTGTTGGGACTTGCTTTATGGCCAAGCACATAGTCGACCTTAGATTATGTGCTGCGTGCAGATAAGAACAATGTGTCTTCTGTTGTTGTTGGGAAGACTATTCTGTAGATCTCTGTTAGATTCACTTAGTCAAATGTCAAGTTTAGGTCCTAAATATCTCTGTTAGTATTCTGTCTCATTAATTTGTCTAACATTGTGAGTGGGGTGTTTACATCTCCCACTATTATTGTGTAGTTATGTAAGTCTATTCATAGGTTTCTCAGAACTTGTTTTATGAATATGGGTGCTCCAATGTTGGGTGCATATATATTCAGAATAGTTAAGGCTTTTTGTTGAATCGAATGCTTTATCATTATGTAATGCTCTTCTTTGTCCGTTTTGATCATTGTTGGTTTAAAGTCTATTTTGTCTTAAATAAAAATAGCAATCTCTGCTCTTTTATATTTTCCATTTGCTTGATAGATCTTTCCTCATCTCTTTACTTTGAGCCAGCAGGTGTCATTGCATGTGAGATGGGTCTCGTGAAGACAGCATACAGTTGGATCTTGTATCTTTATTCAGTTTGCCACTCTGTGCTTTTTAAATGGGGGCATTTAGCCCATTGTAAATATTTGTATGTGAGGATATGATCCTGTCATTGTGTTTTAGCTGGTTGTTATGTAGCCTTGATTGTATAGTTGCTTTATAGTGTCAGTGGGTTAGGTACTTAAGTGTGTTTCATGGTGACAGATATCAGTCTTTTATTTCCATGTTTAGCACTTCCTTAATAACCTCTTTTATGGCATGTCTAGTGGTAAGGAATTCCCATAACATGTGCTTGTCTGAAAAATATCTTATTTCTCTTTTGCTTATGAAGCTTAGTTTGGCTGGATATGAAATTCCTGGTTGAAATTTCTCTTCTTTATGTATACTGAATATAGGCACCTGATCTCTTCTGTCTTGGAAAGTTTTTTTTGAAAGGTCTACTGTTAACCTGTTGGAGTTTCTTTTATATGTGGCCTGCCCCTTATCTCTAGCTGCCTTTAAGATTTTCTTTTATGTTGACCTTGGAAGTCTGATGATTATGTGTCTTGAAGACAGTCGTCTGGTGTAGTATTTTGCAGGAATTCTTTGAATTTCCTGAGCTTTCATGTCAATCTCTCTAGCAAGGTTGGGGAAATTTTCATGGGCAATATCTTCATATATGTTTTCCAAGTTGCTTGCTCTCTCTCCATCTCTTAGGAATGCATAGAGTTGTAGGTGTGGCCTGTTTACTTAATCCCATATTTCTTGGAGGTTTTGTTCATTTTTTAAAATTCTTTTTTAAAAATTTTGGCTGCTTGTATTGATTTGAAGGAGTGATCTTTGAGCTCTGAGATTGTCTCCTCAGCTTGGTCTATTCTGTTACTATGGCTTCCAATTATATTATGAAATTCCTGTAGTGAAATTTTCATTTCCAGAAGTTCAGTATGGTTCTCTCTTAAGATGGCTGTATCATCTTTCAACTCTTGGATCATTTTGCTGTTTTCTTTGGATTGGGTTTCAACCTTCTCCTGTATCTCATTGAGCTTGCTTGCTATCCAGATTCTGAATTCTATAACTATAATTTGAGCCATTTCAATCTGGCTAAGAACCATTGCTGGGGAGCTAGTGCAGTCATTTGGAGGTAAGAAAACAGTATGGCTTTTGGAGTTGCCAAAATTCTTGTGATACTTCTTTCTCATCTGTGTGGGCTTATGTTGTTTTGATCTTTGAAGTTGTTGTACTTTGAATGGGGCTCTTTGCGTTTATATTCTTTGATGCCCTTGAGGGTTTGACTGTGGTATAAATTGGGTTTAGTTGACAGACCTTATTTCTGGATGCTTTCAGGGGGCCAAGGCTCAGCTCAGTACTCCTAGAATATGCATGCTCTAACCCTGGGAGGCTGGGGCCAGGCCCACAATTTTGATGTCAGTCTCCTCAAAATCAAACATCTGCTGCACTGGAGGGGCTGATGTGTTCACAGTTCGATGGCAACAATGCTCTGACAGGTTTTCCAGCAAAAGTGCTCTGGTGGGGCAGCTGGTGGGCCATGGGATGGTGTGCTGCAGCAGGAGCACTGCAGGTGATTGTGTTCTGGCAGGGTGGTGAGGGATGCGGGCTGCAGGCAAGTATGCACAAATGGGCTGGTGGGGCTGTGGCAAAGTGTGTACTGACAGGGTGGCAGGGGGACCATGGGCAAGTGTGCAGTGGTGGGGCAGCTGCAGGCATGCACACAACAATGGAGTGGTGGTAGGTTCCCATGAGTGTTTGCAATGGTGGGTTGGTGGGGGTAGGCTGTGGGCAAGTGCACCTCAGTGGTGGTCTGTCTGCAAAAGCACTCTGATGGGTGGGCACAGGCTGCCAGTGAGAGTTAAGGTGGTGGCTGTAGGCAAGCACTTTGGCATGGAAGCGGAGGCTGTGCTGCAAGCAGATATGGCAAAGCAGGGACCCTGGGAGAGGCCAGCAGACAGGAGGGCATTCACATCAGACCGGTCCCATTCCATGGGCAAGAGAGTCCTGCTGTCTCCAGGTTAGCAAATAACAAAGGCTAAAGCCACCTAGAGAAGTATGGCAAACTTCAGGGGATGGGCACCCATGGCTATGCTCCACTGTAGCCATCCCCATGCCAAGCCCTCTAGGCTGCATGTGGTCTGGAGTTCTGTCTCCACCGCTCTCTGGGCAGTTCTCCCTACAAACTCAAATGTCCATGGGGGTTTTGGGGGTCCCTTACACTTAGTATCCTGGAGGTCCATGGTAAGAATACGCTGCTTCACAGCTATTTTACTCAGCCCTTCCCTAGAAAACACTTGGGGGCAGGAATGCATCCTGGTGCTTGGCAACCCCATGCAGGGTTCCCAGCTTCCTCCCCCTTCAGCCCTGGGCTCTGTGTTCTCTCTCTTTCTATTCTCAATGCCTTTTTTTTCGGAATATCTGTTCAGAGGGTACCAGTATACTTGATGTTTTGTTCTCTCTGAAGTTCTTCCTGGCTGTGGCTAGTCAGCCATCTTGTCTCTTCCACTGTGTGTGTGTGTGTGCTTGCATGTAATCTTCAGGAAGGCAAGAATGTTATCTATTTTATTTACAACTTTTTCCTAGAACATGTAATAGAACCTGGGATGTAGTAAGTATGCAATACATGTTTGTTGATCTCCTGACAGTTCCAGCAACTACATCTATTAGATATGGCAACTTATTGAATACACCTGGTCAGGAAATGTGGGGTGAGAAAAAAAACATGAGGCATTCCATCCTGAGGATATGACCCTTGCATTGGCATGTAGAACAGAAACAGGAAGGACACTGGCTGGCCAGCTGAAATGTACAGTTTTCACACATCCCCTATGTTTAGAGTAATAAACAAACAACAAAATAGCACCTCAGTAGTACAAACATTAAGTACTTGTATGCCTGTTTGAATATTGTAATTTCTCAAGGGCTGTGTGATCAGTGTGCAGATTGTAGGCATTAGATAAATGTGTGTTAATATTTGCGTAAATCTTCACCACCACCCCTCAAAATAGACAATCAATTTTTATGGTCAGGAATTATATCATATCTTTTTTCTGACTTAAATGCCACATCTAAACACTGCTAATTGGACATCTGGTAAAAGTCTTACTGTTTGATGGTTGCAGATTTGGTAGAAATCCACATATAGACAGAAGAGATTTAGAAATATAAACTGCATTAGGCTTTTACCTAATTAAAAAAAAAACAGGTAAAGAGGGACATTTTGACCAATGTTTGATCAAGCAAATACCACCGTGAGCTTTGATTCTGTTAAAGTGAAGAGAGTCCATCCAGTACTTGATGACCAATCCCAAACTGGAGGCAACTGAAGAAAATGTTCATGGGTCAGTGGCACACAGTAGTATCCACTTCCCAGTCCACTGCTGATGGAGGGCTGCCTTAACCTAGAGTACAGTAGAGAAAGCACAAGACCCTCAGACTTGTGGAGCTTAAAATAGGAAAGAATGGCATCAAATCAGCTCCTCCTTGACTCCTGTGAATTAAGATGTCATGGAGAAGTGAAGAGAAGAGAAAGATGAAGTCCCCAAGCTGGAATATTGCCTCCATAGGGGGTATTGGCACAAAGCTTCCAAGTTCCAGGCAGCAGAGTGCAAGCTTGACGCGTTTAGTCCCAAAACCCTGATTGCTCTGCACAGAGTTTGAGTCCCGTGTACCCATTTGTTAAGTTCACCTGTCTGATTTCATGCAACTTACTTTTATCACAGCCGTGATTTCTTAACCCATTGTTTCTTTTGAGATATCCATCTTTTCCTAAGTACAACTTTGTAAACTCCTAATCATATTTGTTTGTTTTAATTGAACAAATATGTTCTGTGCCTTGGGTTCAAGTGATGGCTCCTAATTGGTTGCATGCTAGCTCAGCTCGTAGTTTCAGAGGATGGAGTTTCTCTCGTTCTGGTTGGGCATGTGGAAGGGGAGATAACTTTAAAGCTTGATTAAAGCAAGTTTCTCTAACGTCAGAGTTACTTCTGAAGAAATAACTGTAATCCTGGAGGAACAATGGAGGCTCGCTTGAGTTAAGAAAGTTAGAACAGAAGTTTAAAAAAACAACCCTTGGTCCAATTTTCAAGAGGATTGTATAATGTCCAAAAAATGAAAAAAAATCCCCCCCACTTGTAACCACAGGAAACCAAGCATTTAAGTCAGAAAAAAGAAACCCCTCCAATCCCACCCTCAGAATGAACTGCACCATATTGTTTTCCTTTCGTGCTTGCTGATTTTAGATGTTCATTTTCTGTACGTTAAAAAGCAAAAGAGACTTAAAAAAATTCATTAGCGGTTTCTGTCTAAATCTCATCATCCAATTATTTTCATAGTGAACATTTGAAATGGAAGAAGTAATTCGGCCAAGAACTTTCTCTCCCTGGATTCCAGGAGATGTTTCACAATAATTAGAAACCCCAATGGGTCTTTTAAGAACCCTTAAAGTGTTCCATATGCAGACTTCCATATGAAGTGGTACAATGTGCAGTTCTTCATTTTCCACAGTGGGGCCTGACAGGTCTTAGTGTATATTGTTACATTAAATGAGATGCACATTAGTTGGTCAGACCACTGGGTAGCTGGCCCCAATTTACAGAGAAATACAAACCAACCTGGTAACCCCAGTATTTGCCCCCCACGCCACTTCAAGCACACACAAACAGAGTACTGTTAATCATTGAGCAGTACTCAAGTACTAATTGGCTTCTTGGACCCTGTCCTTGAGTATGGAGTATGGGTCTCACTGATTTTAATGCAATTATAATGTGAATTAACACATCTCAGTCATGAAATATCTGGGCTAAGCCAGGGATTAGCCAAGTACCAGCTATCACATTCTTTTCTTTTCTTTTCTTTTTTTTGAGATGGAATCTCGCTCTGTTGCCCAGGCTGGAGTGCAGTGGCACTGCAACCTCCACCTGCCAGGCTCCAGCAATTCTCCTGCTTCAGCCTCCCAAGTAGCTGGGACTACAATCACGTGCCACCATGCTTGGCTAATTTTTTGTATTTTTAGTAGAGACAGGGTTTCACCATGCTGGGCAGGCTGGTCTCAAACTCCTGACCTCATGATCTGCCCACCTCGGCCTTCCCAAGTGCTGGGATCACAGGCATGAGCCACTGTGCCCAGCTTCACTCTTTTTTTTTTTTTTCTGGACTAGTACAGGACTTTCATTTGTTATTTAGGCAGAGGGAAATACAGTAGCTACAAAAACCCCAAGATTCAGGGTGTCCCTATTTAAAATATATGGCTTCGCTATATCTTAACATTCTTTTATCCGTTGCTGTTTTGGCATTCTGTGCAAAAGTAGTAGGAAACAATTATACAGAACCAGTATCTGATACCGTGTCAGGTCTGCATGCCTTGCTAAGCAAAGAGCACTGATTATCAACCTTATTGTGACAGAGAGAAGTCCAACTGGTATGGTTTTGTTGATGGTAAAATGCTAATTTTTTTTCTTAAAGGAAGTTGTGCATGGTTCGTTAGGTGGGTAATAAGTCTATAGTCTTTCTTCTCCTGGTTGATGACATTTTAGGAGATTTTGATTTTGGATGCTGTCATGGTTTGGCTGTGTCCCCACCCAAATCTCATTTGAAACTGTAACTCCCACAATTCCCATATGTCATGGGAAGAACTTGGTGTCAGGTGATTGAATTATGGGGACAGGTCTTTCCTGTGCCGTTCTCCTGATGGTGAATGAGTCTCATGAGATCTGATGGTTTTAAAAATGGGAGTCTCCCTGCACAAGTTCTCTTCTCTTGTCTGCTCCCATTTGAGATATGCCTTTCACCTTCCACCATGATTGTGAGGCCTCCCCAGCCACATGGAGCTGTAAGTCCAATAAACCTCTTTCTTCTGTGAATTGCCCACTCTTGGGTATGTCTTTATCAGCAGCCTGAAAATGGACTAACACAGTAAATTTGTACCAGTAGAGTGGGGCGTTGCTGAAAAGATACCCAAAAATGTGGAAGCAACTTTAGAACTGGGCAACAGGCAGAGGTTGGAACAATTTGGAGGGCTCAGAAGAAGACAGGAAAATGTGGGAAAGGTTGGAACTTCCTAGAGACTTGTTGAATGGCTTTGACAAAAATGCTAATAGTGACATGAACAATAAGGTCCAGGCTGAGGTGGTCTCAGATGGAGATGAGAAACTTGTTGAGAACTGAAGCAAACATGAGTCTTACTATCTTTTAACAAAGTGACTGGCCACATTTTGCCCCTGCCCTAGAGATTTATGGAACTTTGTACTTGAAAGATGATTTAGGGTATCTGGCAGAAGAAATTTGTAAGCAGCAAAGCATTCAAGAGGTGACTTGGCAGTGGCTCACGCCTGTAATCCCAACACTTTGGGAAGCCGAGGTGGGCGGATCACAAGGTCAGGAGATCGAGACCATCCTGGCTAACATGGTGAAACCCCATCTCTACTAAAAATACAAAAAATTAGCCGGGCGTGGTGGTGGGTGCCTGTAGTCCCAGCTACTTGGGAGGCTGAGGCAGGAGAATGGCGTGAACCCAGGAGGCGGAGCTTGCTGTGAGCTGGGATCGTGCCACTGCACTCCAGCCTGGGCAACAGAGCGAGACTCTGTCTCAAAAAAAAAAAAAAAAAGAAAAGAAAAAAGACGTGACTTGGGTGCTGTTAAAGGCATTCAGTTTTAAAAGGAAAACAGAGCATAAAAGTTTGGAAAATTTGCAGCCTGACAATGTGATAGAAAGAAAAATCCAATTTTCTGAGGTGAAATTCAAGCTGGCTGCAGAAATTTGCATAAGTAAACCATGAGCTAAATGTTAATCCCCAAGACAATGGAGAAAATATCTCCAGGGCATGCCACAGGTCTTCATGGCAGTCCCTCCCATCACAGGCCTGAAGGCCTAGGAGGAAAAACTGGTTTTGTGGACCAAGTCCAGGGTCCCTGTGCTTTGTGCAGCCTAGGGACTTGGTGCCCTGTGTCCCAGCCACTCCAGCCATGGCTGAAAGGGGCCAAGGTGTAGCTCAGGCCATGGCTTCATAGGGTGCAAGCCCCAAACCTTGGCAGCTTGCATGTGGTGTTGAGCCTGCGAGTGCACAGAAGTCAAGAATTGGGGTTTGGGAACCTCTACCTAGATTTCAGAGGATGTATGAAAACCCCTGGATGCCCAGGCAGAAGTTTGCTGCAGGGGCAAGGCTCTCATAGAGAACCTCTGCTAGGGCAGTGTGAAAGGGAAATGTGGGGTAGAGTCCCCACCCAGGGTCCCTACTGGGGCATTGCCTAGTGGAGCTGTGAGAAGAGGGCCACCATCCTCCAGACCCCAGAATGGTAGATCCACCAACAGCTTGCACCATGTGCCTGGAAAAGCCACAGATACTCAATACCAGCCCATGAAATCAGCTAGGAGGGAGGCTGTACCCTACAGAGCCACAAGGACAGAGCTGCCCAAGACCATGGGAACCCACCTCTTGCATCCACATGACTCGGCTGCAAGACATGGAGTCAAAGGAGATCATTTTGGAGCTTTAAGATTTTACTGTTCTGCTGTATTTCAGACTTTTATGGGGACTGTAGCTCCTTTGTTTTGCCCAGTTTCTCCCATTTGGAACAGTATTTACGCAATGCCTGTACCCCCATTGTATCTAGGAAGTAACTAACTTGCTTTTGATTTTATGTAGGTGGAAGGGACTTGGCTTGTCTCAGATGAGACTTTGGACTGTGAACTTTTGAGTTAATGCTGAAATGAGTTAAGACTTCAGGGGACTATTGGGAAGGCATGGTTGGTTTTGAAATGTGAGGATATGAGATTTGGGAGAGGCCAAGGGCAGAATGATATGGTTAGGCTGTGTCACTGCCCAAATCTCATCTTGAATTGTAACTCCCACAATTTCCAAATGTCGTGGGAGGAACCTTGTGGGAGTTGATTGAATTGTGGGGGTGGGTCCTGCACTGTTCTCATGATAGTGAATGAGTCTCATGAGATCTGATGGTTTTCAACAGAGGAGTTTCCCTGCACAAGCTCTTCTCTTGTCTGCTGCCATGTGAGACATGACTTTCACCTTCCACCATGATTGTGAGGCCTCCCCAGCAGCGTGGAACTGTAAATCCAAAAAACCTCTTTCTTTTGTAAATTTCCCAGTCTTGGGTATGTCTTTATAAGTGGTATGAAAACGGACTAATACAGATGCTTTGTGCATCCTTAATAAAGATGTGCTTTGTAACCTAACTGGACCCCAGAGATCAAAGAAGGCAGCAGAGCATTAAAAAACAGCTGTTTTCCTGCAGGGGCTTATATTCTCATTAGATGTTTGTATTTGCAAAAAAAAAAACTGTGAGATTTTCTAAAAATAAAAATGCCTTATTCGTATTTTAATATTGACAAAATATCTCCCACCTTTTACTTAGGATATGCTCCCTTTTACCATTATTTTAGTGGGATGATCAGTGTATGCCATTTAAAGTTACTGAGTCAAGGAGTAAAATATGAACAAAGAATAGCAATTTCTCATCATTATTTATTGGTTTAAAATTTTCTTAGTCCATTTAAGATTTTCAGAAAAGAAAAAATGTGGCTGAGCTCAGCATATGATATATGATTATTTGTTCCTTCTCCTTCCTACAAATAATGCTTAAAATAGGAGTGCTCATTTGTTTGAGGTAATATATATATTAATATTATTTTGAAAATGTTAACATGACATCCTCCTATCATATAAAGAAAGCAGTGAGTGGACTATTTCTTGAGGCTATTTAATTTCCTTTAGAAGTCTGATGGTAACTGGGTACAGAATGAGAAATGCAAATAAAAATATGAATGGACAATTTGGTATTACTTTCAGGAATAAGAGAAAAACCAATAGAGAGTATATGAAATTGCCTCTTCATAGCTCTTGAGACCCTTTGGTTCTTTCATTTAAATTATGATTTGCTAACATATAAAAGCTAAATTGTTTCCATCAAAAGCTATTAATTGAACAGCCCTGGGCAGATATGTTGCCTTTCCTTGCCCCTATAGGACAGAAGTTAAGATCTGCAACCAAAGATAATTTAAATTTAAAGTACTAGAAACAGGAGATGGAGTTTGAAAGAGGTATAGCAGGAGGAAAGGTCTAGGATCATACTCTGTCATTGGTCACCCAAACAAGAAAACATAATAAATTATTGGAACTCTTCCGAGAGATTTAGAAGTGCATCAGTCCTAGCATTTAAAGAGAAAGAGAACTGGGAGACCTAGATCACTGATGATGAAGCAGGGAAGAATCCAGACTCCTGAAGAGGGGTGCACAGAGAAAGAGAGAAAGAAAAGGTCTAAGGAAATGAGTTTATAGGGCTAAGGAGTATCTCCCAAGACAAATATTCATAAACACATATACATACATAAGCATGTGTTCACTTCCCCCACCTCCAACACACACCACAAGTAGCAGATATTTGAAAAAAAAATCTGATTCAAGTTTTGAACTCCAGCTGCTCACATTTAGCATAGAGTTATTTTCAGGGTGGCCAAATCACATAACTGGTACTCATTCCCACTCTGATATTTGAAGATCTGGAAATCAATGTTGACAAGACAATCTGTTGCAGTGTCCATTGACGGGAATCCTGTGACTGGGATAACAGAAACAAAAAAAGTCAGTATTGGCCGGGCGCGGTGGCTCACGCCTGTAATCCGAGCACTTCGGGAGGCCGAGGCGGGCGGATCACGAGGTCAGGAGATCAAGACCATCCTGGCTAACATGGTAAAACCCCATCTCTACTAAAAATACAAAAAATTAGCCGGGTGTGGTGGTGGATGCCTGTAGTCCCAGCTACTCGGGAGGCTGAGAGCAGGAGAATGGCGTGAACCCAGGAGGTGGAGCTTGCAGTGAGCCGAGATCTTGCCACTGCACTCCAGCCTGGGTGACAGAGCGAGACTCTGTCTCAAAAAATAAATTAATTAATTAAATTAAATAAATAATAAAAAGTCAGTATCCAAATTTGAGGTTTCTATATATCTTTATGGTACTCTGTTAGTGTGTAGAATGGGTGAAAGTGGGAAGAAAAAAGTGTATTTTGTGATAACCTTATTGGAACATTGGTTCCAATGTTTACATTTAAAATATATCATCTCACAAAGGCATTGTCATGATTGCCATTTGCACACATCAATGAGTGGGGAAAATTGTGAAAATCCATTTTATCTAAACTCAGAACAGTAGGTTACCATATCGATACCTCTTGCATGCATGTACCCTAATTCAGAGCTACTCCATGTGCGACTGGTAATGTGGACTGGTGCTAGTCAGCAAACTGTTTTTGTAGGTTTGCAATGATTAAGTACAGAAATTGAGCATCTGAATTTGGAAACTTCAATAGCAATTTCACAGACTAATTTTATTTCTGTTGAATCTAATTGTTAAAACTGGGTTTTATTTTGTGTGTTCTTTTTTCATTTTCTGAGTAATATGTTTTTATTGGATTTTATAAAAGTTTGATTAGAGATGAATTAGTAATTTAGCAAAACAAAACAAACCAAACCAAATTGGACCCCTATCACAGGTAGTTTGAGAAATATTGGCCTAATTGAAATGCTACAGTAATCCTTCAAATAGACAAAGACTTATCTTAATATTTGGGCTCATATTCCACATTTTAATCTCGGATCTCTAGCTTTCTTGACAGCTGAGTGATTAAAACAGCATAACATAAAGTATCTTTATTGAAACACTAGTCCCTAAAAGTTGTTATGCAAAAACATTCAGGGCCCAGTGTGCTCAAGAAACAGCACATACACTGTGCTCACTTCATATATTCACAGTGCACATTAGCATACTAAAGATTCTGAGAGGTTTTGCAGGAAGCAAATTCGTTTCAATTTAACAAATAATTTCCCAAACTTATAATGGTCACAGAGCTCTTTGTGTGCTTCTGCTTCTCAGCACATGCTAACTTCCTGCAAAGTTAGTGTTCCATGGAACATAAACTGGGAAATACTTCTATTTCTAACTAGAGACCTCAATAAGAGCTGAAAAGAAAAAAAAATAAAGTGGCAACAGATAATGTTGAGGAAAAAAATGGACAATGCACACACTTTTAAATCATAACCTGAGTAATATGTTGATGTCATTCAAACTACTATTCTAATGTGAAGCTCTTGACCATGCCCTTTTCTCCTTTCTGCCTCCCACTGCCTTTTCTAAACACCCCATCTTCTCAGTGGGCTCATTTTTCAGACACTTATAGGAAGACTGCTTCTCCCCTTGAGTCTTCACAATTGGTCCAGGAGTTATATGAAGTTTAGAGTTTTGCTAGTTTCTTGACTTTTTACATCTGGTCTCTTCTATATATTTCCAGATATTTAGTCAAACCCCATTGATTTGGACTAACAAGAGGAAAGGTCAATCCAATTTGATAAGAAGTATGATTTATAGGATAGTTTTAATGTAATGCAATGTTAGTTTTATTATTTTCAAAAGCCCGTGGTGCCAGAAACTATGGTTGTAGACATATACAAAGTTCTCATTTTATACACAGACATGAATTATTTGTAATCACTAAATTTTAAAAAAGGTTTACCATTAAGTTTAAATGTTCCTCTGTCTCTGCCCCCACCCTTTGACAGTCATTATAGAACCACTTTAATTTTCTTTAAACTATTTTTATTTATATATAAAGGCATACTTTATTTCATGCCCTGTCTCAAAAACAACTGTTTAAGTCAGTTGCCCTGAATGAAAGATGTTTGCATTTGGTGTCCATCCTCACCAGTGCAGGAAATAATATGAAACATTGATGAAAGCAAAAAATCCAGAATCTCCATTATATTTCTTTATAAATCATTCTTCTAAAAATGAGTCTTCATTTTTTGAGGCAAAACGTAAGTCGCCTGTCGTATCTTTCCCCATGTTTATCACCCTATTTTATTTCTGTCCTAGTAATAATCAGTTTGAAATTACAATCCTATTGATTTGTTTACTTGTATATTTTATTTAAATGCTCTCCACACTAACATGTAGGCTCACAGAAAGAGGTAGAAGCCAATCTGTATGGAAGAATACAGGGGAGAAGTCCCATTCAGAATTAGCGGGTACAAAATAGGGGCCTAAAACAGAGGAACAGGTGACCTTCAGACCAGCAGTCCTGTTGGCTCTCATACTCTCCACCACCTTCCCAGAGAGCAACTAGCTGCCTGGCAAACAAAACAGAGAATACAAAACCAAGAGTACGCTACTTCAACATGACACAACTTGTCTCTTGAGGAAGGATAAAGCTCCTAAAGAAAGGCCTTTGTCATCTGACACTTGGGGAACTTATACTGTAACAGCCAGGTTAGTGCTAATTGTAGACTTACAGTAAAGCCTTCTGGTTGACAGTCACTACACCAGAGTTCCCAATTAGCTCATCAAGAGCATCAAGAGGAAGCCATATAAGAGGAACAGTATTCCAACTACATATCAAAAATCAACAGTCTCTTTCATTGCTGACTATAGCAGACAACTAACATCATACCAGAAATATGAGTAAAATAAATAGCGATAATGAATTAAAAAAAATTTTAAGGTCAAGATCAATTAACCCCACCAAAAATGGATAATTTAGGGAACATAGTGAACTTTTGAAACATCACAACCATTAGATTCAGGAATCTTGTTGCCTTTACAAAACAAGACTAGACTGTGATAACAAAAGGAAAAACTGAAATATTATGAAGGGCCTCTTGGAAATTAAAAATAGTCTGCCTAAGCTTAAAATTCAACAGAAGAGGTAAAAGCAAAAATTGATAAAATTTCACAGAAGGGAGTAAAAATTAATAAGTATGATAAAGTAAGAGATCCAGAATACTAATAAAATTGATATTTAATACAATTTTAGAGAACAAAAATGGAATGAGATTTAAATAAATGCTTAATAGAAACCAATTTACCAGAGGTGTAGTAAGATGTGATTTTTCCTTTTTTTTTTTTTTTTTTTTGAGACGGAGTCTCACTCCATTGCCCAGGCTGGAGTGCAGCAGCGTGATCTCTGCTCACTGCAAGCTCTGCCTCCCGGGTTCAGGCCATTCTCCTGCCTCAGCCTCCCGAGTAGCTGGGACTACAGGCGTCCGACACCATGTCTGGCTAATTTTTTGTGTTTTTAGTAGAGACGGGGATTCACCGTGTTGGCCAGGATGGTCTCGATCTCCTGACCTCGTGATCCGCCCGCCTCAGCCCCCCAAAGTGCTGGGATTACAGGCGTGAGCCACCGACCCCAGCCTAAGATGTGGTTTTCCAATACAAAGAGAACAATTCAAAAGGCTTACAAGGTAACATAGACACACACACATGCACACACACAATTGAATTTCTTTCATTCTGCTTTTCATTTTTCACAACACAAAAGACAGAGAAAATCCTCAGAAGGCAAAAGCACATAACTTCAGAGAACGAAAATTAAACTAGCATCAGAATTCTCATTACCAATAATGGTTGCTTGAAGACAATCCAAGAACTCCTTCCAAGTTCTAAGAATAAATTGGTTTAGATCTAGAGTTCTATACACAAGTAAGTTATCAGAATATATGTGAACAACCAAAAACGAACTTTTATAGCGATTTTACCATACACTATTGTCAGGAAATTTCTAGATGACATAAGAAAATAAGTTTTAAAGAGTGAGCAACAAAAATAAAATGAGGTACAAGGTGCATTAGAATTAGCTGAAAGGTATAATGAAAGTAAATCTCATGACAAACTACTAGCTCAGTACAGGAAGTTAGTGTGCTGCTGAAAAAAAAATGTTTTCAAAAAAATATTAATTTAAATTGATAGAATAAGCAAAAATAATTATGTGTCAAAAATATATATTTGTTTTCCTAGCAAGACTAAAAGAAAAGCAATTAGAAATGTTTTATAAAAATGTAAATAATGAACATGGTAAAAATATAAAGCAAATAAATTGTGCCATATTTTAAAATAAATTTTGTGGAATGTAAGAAATATGTCATGATTTCATTTATGATTTCTGATTTCCTGTTTAGCTAAAATA